>NW_003315919.1:0-173459 GCF_000001405.40 Homo sapiens | reverse complement strand
TAATTGGAAACCCTGAGCCCCAATCTAGAAAATACATAATAGTATATCAATGTGTATTGTTTTATTTAGTCTTTTACAAGAGCTCATCAAATGCCAGACTTTGCTAAAATTTGAGGAGACGGAGAAGATGAATTTGAATCCATTCTCTAGGGATGCTCTCAACAAAGTGGAGGTGATGGACTCGTGATCTGATGAATTCAGAAAAACATGACAAGTTTATGAATGAAAGGTAGTGAGGACATAAAAATTGCATAATTAATTTTGCCCAGTGTGGTCATATCAATATATATATTTAATCTGGGTCTAGATTTTGAAGAATATGTATGACTTTATTAGGATAAAAATTAGGGAAAGAGTTAGGAAATGTCCAGGCAGAAGTAATATTTCAGAATCATAATAAAAGTTTCCCCAACCTTTAGCACACAACCATGTAAATAGAATTTACTATTTAACATAGTTTCATTTTGATTAATAAAAAATCCTCTATATTTGCTGGGAAAATCTAGATTAATATTTGCCTAAAAACTACAAAGAGAGCCAAAGCCCTTTTACTCTGTATTTAATGTGCTATCTTAAATAAAAGCTGAGATGATTCAGTTATCACGAAGAGAAATATGCCAAATATTCAATTTGATGCATTTTGGTGATGTCAACCTAAAGAGTTTCTTAAGCCCCTAATATTCCCTGCTGGTCTATTCTAATTAACATGAGCACTGTGTTTGAAGGACAAAGTTTAGTCTACAAAGGCACTGCCTGAAGTAATAGCATTTACATCTTGCTTTATTTCCCTTATGAAAATAGAAAAAAAAAAAAGACTCATGCCCAAGTGGGGAACAAGAGTACTGTCCCAATCATCTATTTAGCTAAAATATATATGTATTTGATTCTAAGTTCTAATTACCTCAGTATGTTCCCTTCATTTTTGCCAAGCGTAGCTAAAACATGAAGTTTTGCTAATATTTTGGAACCAGATTTATATCCAGTTACATTCTACAGCTGCTTAATGTATGCTTGATGCTTTACATGCACACAGTGCTAGATACCAGGAATATAAACAGTGAATAAGGCAAATACCACCAAAATCTTGCAGACTCTTCTATCTAATGGGAAAAATGTAGAAAACAAGGAAATGGCTGATCATGACTCTAGGATCAAAGGACTCAAATGGCTCACTGTCAAACTCCATTCATTAAATAAATACCATTTAAACTCAGTATCATGATCTACAAGACCCTACATGTTCTGCTCCTACATAATTCCCTTTCATCATCACCTACTATTCTCCCCTTCTCCCACTTAATTTTAGAAATGTAGACCTCCATGTTCATCTTCAAACATGTCAAATTTATTCCCACACCTGAGCGTTTTTATTTGTTGTTTCCTTGGCAAGGAAATCTTCGCTAATTTCCTGAATTCATTCAAGAGTGTACTCAAATGTTACCTTTAGAAAGCTTATTCCTGACCATGATTTTTCAGCTGGTCTCATCTACTTTCTATCATGCTGTAACAGTCTTTGTGGCTCATATAACTTGCTGAAATAATATTACACACACATATATGTACACACACACACATGTACACACACACAAATACATTACATGTCTCTCTTCTAGAGAGGAAAGCCAGTTTGAGCCTCTTGTTTACAACTATATCTCCAGTCTCTTGTACAGTGCCTTGCACTTAATAAATGTTCGATAAATATTTTCTGGTTTTTATTGGAGTTGATTTATGTATGCAGAGTGATATGAAAGGGGAAGAAATGGTTTTTGAGTGTCTTTTCCCTTTAGAAATTTGCACATGATCATTCACCATTAATTTTCTGTTCCACTCTGGCTATCTAGAATGTGATATTTCTAATGGAATGATCACAGAGGATAGTTGATTCTGAAACTCAAATTTGTCAGTTGAAATGGAAGTACACTCCTCTGTCTGAATATTGCCAACATTTCAAACTGATGTACTGATTTCTACCAACAATTATGAGAACTTATCTAGTTCTCATAATTCTGAAAACATTCCCTTTATTGAACAGCATCTGTTCTGTTTTGATTTGAATCAGTCAACTTGTATATTTTTTAAGGTCCGTTGCTGCTAGAGACTCCTCTACCCGCAACACAAATGCTTTAATTACAGGTTTCCTTCTCTGTCTTCATTCCCAAGGAAGGAAATACTTTAATCTACTCTTAACATTCGTCACCAGTTTCAGTGTCAGTGACCCCATCATCTTCATAGCTCGCTGCCTGTATATTTTTTTTTGGCTAATCCTTTTGTGTTTTTTTACATTTAAATTTAACACTAAACATAAATGAGAATTTTCAAGCTCAATAGAGCCTAACAATCTTTCCATCAGCTTTACAGGTGATTTGCTTTCTAATTACCATTCAAAATAATATATACATAGCTATTTTTACACTCATATATTAGTTGCTGCTATATGCAATTGAATAAAGACAGATACAGAGACAGGCACAATTATATCTGCAAATCATTGCAGTAAGTTGGATGTTTATTCACAGAAACATCTAGTTGATGATCACTTGCTGGCAAGATTGGACAAGTTTCAAAACAACTCCAAAGGAGATCTGAGCATACTGTTATAAAGAAAAATTTCACAGAACATAATCAAGATATTTGTGTTTGCTAAGGGAATTACAACCCCATGAAAAATGAATTCTCTAACTTTGAGGTAGAGGTGTCATTTATTTACTGTGATATTAACTGCAAGCCAAGATCAGTTTGCTTCAATGAAAAAAGAGAAAATGTTTCTGATCAAGCAAATTCAAATGAAAACATTGCCATTTCCCATTTGCCTTTTGGCTATTCTTTGCTACTTCCTTTAGAATACTACCTTAACACATTCATATACAATTGATGGAAATGTAAATTAGTTTGATCCTTCTGGAGGAAAATTTAGAAACAAGAATAGCATCTTTTAAAATTCTTATTTGAGCTACTAGAAATGGACTCTAGCCAACAGAAGCAGATAAATACTTTATTGATGGTGTGTCTTAGAGCTATTAGAATGGAAGGGATATCTAATGATCCCAGGTTTAGCTAGGGCCAGAAAAGGACTGGGTGGAGGTACAGGAAGTAATAGACATCTTTTAGGGAGTGTGCAATGAAATGAATTAGGTCCAAGCATTTTCAAGCCTTTATAATTCAAGTCCTCTTTCATAACACTTTACTAACCCTCCCTTTTTCTTTAGCTCTTACTGATGTCACTTTTCTGATTTCTCATTCCTGGATGACAAATGTTTCCCAGACCAACTCTGATCAGTTGTTTGGCTGTTTGAGAAGGATTTGGAGGATCTGTCAAGGCTCAGTTGGAAAGAAAACTTCGATGATTAGCAGTGTATGCTATGGGTGCTGATGGGAGAAAATGGTTGCCCTTAGACTAGATTAGATCTGAGAAAACAATAAAGGACTCATGGCACAAAAACATTAAAATATTTTTAAAACCCATTAGGAACTGGTATAATTCAAAGTTACACACATTAACATGCAATCAAGTATGAATGTACAAACAGGATTATGATAACCTTAATTACATTTGCCTTGGGCATAAAAGTATTAGCAAATGCAATGCATAGTTATTATAACCTTGAACATAAGCCAGTAAAATCATAGTGATAATCCATTGGATAAATTTTGTTCAACTTTTATTATCTGACTGAGTGTACATAAACTAAACTGCTACTATTGGTTTATAAAGAAGTTATAAGTTGATACAACAGGTCGCATGGAAAAATTTGGGATGAGGGTGAACAAATAAAATGGACTTTTTCTCTCTGTCATTTATTTATTCTGTAGCAAATACTATGCTTATTTGTCCTTCCTATATCCTTTTAAGTAAGATATGAGGAATGTCTCCTTTTACAAATGTGGAAGTAGGTTCAAAAGCTTTTTGCTCCAAAGTAGGGGATAGTTTCACCCAAGTCCAACTGTTCTATAGTCCATGCCTTTAATTGTTTTACTATTTTATTATGTAACCTCAAAAGACAGTGTTAAATCATCCATACTTTCTGTAGATTCCCTCAGCTATATAGCTAACAGAAAGTAGGCAGAAACAGATAACAACTGATCATAGTACCTGGTAGGTGCCCATTCATCTGATATAAGAGTGGATGGAGGAGGGAGTTAACTTTTCACCAGGAAAATTATAAAACTACATAATCTCTACTTTTTTACTTTAAAAAATCCTAATAAAGACCCACTTCTATTATTATCAATGTCAAACTCAAATGTTAAAGTGACAGAATTGAATATTGAGAGTGTTACTTTGGGAACCATACTGCCTGAGTTCATATCCTTGGCTCTAATACTTGCAAAGTGTGTAACACTGGAGAAGTTATTGAGCCTCTCTGTTCTTTAGTTCCTGCAATTGAAAAATGTAGATATAATGATTCCCATCTCGTATTATTGCATCATATTATTGCAAGAAACAAAATAATGTATCTAGAACACCTAGATCTGTGCATGGAATGCTGTATAATTGATGTGTTTACTATTATTATCATTGTTATAATGGTAATTACTCTTATTCCAAATCTATAGATACCACCAATAATTTAATTCTGTTTTCAGTATCACAGCTGCCCATTTTAGAATTCTCTACCATGGTCAGTTGCTTATCACTGATAACTAACTCCACCATTAAAACCTTCCTTTCCCACATGAAGCACTGAGATGCAGTGATGAACAAAACAGATGCTTCCTTATCCTCATCAAATTTTCAGCCTCTTAGGGAATACAGAAATTAAGATAAATTAATAATTTGGAGTACTATGAATGTTTTGAAAGAAAAATGTAGTTGTGATAGAGTACAATTGTGGTGTTGGCATTATGGAAGGCTTTCTGAGAAAGTGGCGTTTCAGTTGAAACTTGAGGGAAAAGGAAGCTAAGTGAAGAGAAGTGATTCAAACAGAGGAAAAGGTATGTGTGAAAAGTTAGAAGGATGGGTACACACCAGCTAGGTATTTATGATGTAGCTTGAATGTACCCTTGTATAAGAGGAAGCGTGAAGAGAGGAGAGTAGAGTCCACTAAAGGCAAGGTCTTGTTTGTCATTTTGGGAAGTTTGTATCTCGAGGATCATGGAAAGTCACAGAAGGGTTTTAAACAAGGGAATGACAATCCTTTTGTTACTCACAGAAAACTTGTATTCAGCCTATTCCCAGTATTGCAGATAGAACAAGAACTAAAAAGGAATTGAAATGTTTACTTAAGTCTTGTCTTAGCTCAGGCTGCTACAACAAAACTATCAGAGAGTGGGTGGCTTATGAACAACAGCTATTTATTTCTTAAATATCTGTCCTGGAGGCTGGAAGTCCAAGATCAGTGTGCCAGTATAGTCAGGTGAAAGCCCTCTTATGGGTTGATGACTTCCAATTTCTCATCCTATCCTTACCTGGCAGAGAGTAGAAGGGGGAAGCAAGCTCTCTCATGACTCTTACAAGGGCGCTAATTTTATTCACAATGGCTCTGCCCTCATAACCCAATCTTATCCTAATTATCTCCAAAGGTCCTACTTCTAATACTGTCACATTTGGTGGAGTTTGTTTTAGTGTTTTTACATATGAATATTGGGACACACAATTATTCTATATATAATGATTCTCTTTAAAAAATGCTGATAGGAAACTTAATTGAATAAAGCACAGAATACCCTAGAATTTTGTTTCACCATCTATCTCCCTGAAGCCATTCTAGCATAATAGCTATTTTTTCCACTTCTCATGCCCCTTTCCAAAGAAAGCTCCTTCTATCTTTTCATTTTCAAAACCACTGTTACTTTTCTTTCTCCCTCTTTCTTTATTTCACTTCTCATTTCCAAGACAGACTTAGAAAGGCATGACCTACATTCCCCTTCATAGAGACTCCCAAGTTGAGGGGAGTGTGGTCAGCAGGCAATCTTTAGCATTGAACCCATTCAGAGGGTCTTCTTTAGCTGTGGAGACCAATCTCTTCCCAGGTCATTTCTTTCCCAGGGAGGCCCACTTCTGTGACAGAGAAATGAGGATATAAGGACCTGGCAATTTCTGCCAAAATGGGGAAACTGTCCATCCATATACACCCAGAGGTCCCAGCAGGGTAGGCCGAGGCTTTGTCAATCCTGCATGGCAATTAAATTTCTCCCTTTATCCAATCCTTCTATCTCCCATTTCTTTCACCAGTTTTGACCCTGATAAAGCTCTTGCAGCCCACACATTTCTGCACACATTTCCAGAGAACTCAGCCTGCTGTAACTTTTCCTTCTATTTTATTCTTCAGAAGGTATATCTGCCAGTTCACATATAGATGAACTCATTTTTTTTAAAAGTGAGTTTTAAAAAATTATTTCTCTGTGCACATTGCTCTGATCAAAGGGAGAGAAACCCAAGCCATGGGGCTTGTGTAGCACCAAAAACCTCTCTCACAAGTTCATGGAGCTATGTGTGAGTGTGGAAGGCAGTAAATAAGGTATAGTAAGCCTATGACTTAGCACATATTATGATTTTTTGTAAATATCACGCAGACTTCCTGGAACACCTCTTTCATGAGGCTTCTCTCCAGTCAATGAGATTACAGGAGCCAGGAAAAAGGCATCAAATTCCACATTCTCTGCAGCAAAGCATCTGCCTGTCTTCTGCCCATAGCAGCAAATTTGTATTTGATCTCATTATTCTAGTGCATTTTTGTGATGACCTAGCAAAGAATTGGAGATAAAAATGGTAGGAAGAAGTGAGAGAAGAAGAAGGACTTTGTGAGGTCAATCCACATAATCAGGAGTGGAGGGTGGAGTGGGGCATGTTTGGCTGGTTGGCTTGCTTTTTGGAGGGTAATGGCAGTGGGAATGTTGGGCATGATAGAGTTGGGGAGAAAAAATGGGAGATTTGAGAAATATTGCTAGGGGTTATGAACTTGATCTCCTTTTATGTATGTTGAGAGGTAGGGAAATTATTAAAGTTCTCTTTTATTGCTCTTTTGTTGTTTATATTAAAGTTCTTTATATATATATATATATATATTTATATATATATATATATATATTTATATTAAAGTTCCCTTTTATTGCTCCTTTGTTGTTGTTTGGACGAGAGCAGTGTTTCCAAAAGAATGATCTAGAATCTAGAAGGTCATATGTATAATAATCACCTGGAGAGCTTTAAGCCTAATTCTGTGGCCACACCTCCAGAGTTCACCATCAGATTTGGAGCTGGGTCTACAATATCTTTTTTGTTTTTCAAAATAAGTATCCCACACGTTTCCAGAACATTTCATCCATAGACCATATTATTTGAAGCACTGGCAGAGTCCAGAATTCAGTCTTCAAACTGAGCAAGTTGCATGATGAGGTTATCCACTTGCAGGCTTTCCAGGGTTTATACAGTCATGCATGGTTTTAGGGAAATTTACCTCCGGATACTCAGCTTCTGCATGTAGTCTTTCCTAAAGGTGATATTGCTGAAAAAAGTGTATTGTCTTCTAATTTTCCATAACTATCCCCCCCTTTTAAAATGGCTTTTTCCTCATGCTCTAAATGAAGAATAGCATTTTTCTGCCTGCAATGAATCTTTCAGATTTCATTGCCCTTTGGTCTGATTAATTCAAGCACCAAACAAAGGGAAATGTCAAAGTTCATCGATGCTAAGAAAGAGAGCCAAGAGAACAAACAAAAAAGTCAGCATGTTAGTGAAAAGTATAGAAATTTTACTCCAAAGGCTCCTGACTTTGGCCATCTATGTGTCTCTTCATTATCTACCTACCTACCCATCCATTCATCTATCATTAGTATTAGTCAGAGTTCTCCAGAGAAACAGAGCCAATGGAATATATGTATATTGTATTGTATTTATAGATAGATAGATAAATAGATAGATGTTAGATAGATAGATAGATAGATAGAGAGATAGATATTGGTCTATTTATACATCATTAGTATTAATTGGCTTATGCAATTATGGAGGCTGAGAAGTCCCACAAACTGTCATCCGCAAGCTGGAGAGTCAAGAAAGCCAGTGGTAGAATTCAGCCTGAAGGCAGGAGAAGATGCGATGAGCGGTCCCAGCCCAAGCAGTGAGGCAGGAAGAAAAATGAGTAAATTACTCTTTCCTCTGTCTTTTGTTCTATTTGGTCGCTCAGTGGATTGAATGATGGCCAAACATATTGGGGAGGATATGTATTAAAAGCCAATACAGCATAAACAATTATCCAGAAAACATCTTTTGAAACTATTAAACTTGTGATGAAAAATCTCAGGTGACAACTTAAAATGTGTAAGGAGTTAAATAATTTAAATATTATTTTAGTGAATACAGGAGGATATGTATGTGTGTATATGCCTACACACACACACACACATTCACATATATATATATATATATATCTTTGTTTTTGGATGGTTTAAGGATGCTTTAAGGATGGTTGCATCTGTACTGAACTCTTTTCTTTTTACCTGTGTCTATCTGGTATACCACAAGAATACATAGGTCTGGATCTCATGAGGAAATATTTTGGAAATCATGGTCCTAGACCATATCTACTAAGTACCTAAACTAGAGTATAATGTAGATCTGAGTGTGAGGCAGCCATGTTGGGCCCATATGCATATACAGCAAAGAAAGTTGGCACTAGAGAAAAAATAATAAAGCAAATGTAGAAAGAAAAGTAGAGAAGTGATGATGATGATGAGGATAATGATGATAATGATGATGAGAGAGAGAAGCTGCAAAGTTGCCAATAACTTTTCAATTATAATTCCAGCCATTATTAAGATATGGGATCATTTTCTTGCCTTGAAGTTCATGTGCTAATGTTTGCATGTTTCCAATAATTGTCCTTTTCTTAGCTTCAGGTAATTTGAACAGGTATCTCACACTTGTCTCTAAATTGTTCCATGCCTAAGCACATTGCAAATAACTGAGAGAAAAAAGCATTTTAAGACTATTGAGGAAGAATTTAAGAGGCCCCACAAAACCACTGCTGGGATCATAAACCAACAGCACCCATCTCATTAGCCTCATTAATTAGGAAGTTGAAACACCATCTATTCCAACCCCTTCATTTTATAGATAAGGAAACTCTCTATTTGGTCACATTGTATGCAATTAAGTAACAATTTCAAAAATGTACATATTATAGATCTAGATGAAAAGAAATAACCAAACCTTTACATAGAACAGCTTGAAATAGAAATCACTGCTGAATGCAGGCTGGTATTATTCTGATTCATCATAGACAGATGATAATTTAGATTCGAGAGAGATTTTCCCTTAAATATACTTGTACTTCTCACGTGCTGTTTCAGCAATTTAGTTATCTAATGATTTGATTGTATTCATTCCCAAGTCAGGAGCCTAGGTTAAAACATACCTTGTGAATCTCAAATCAGGTTGCCATGGTAATAGAATCTATTCTCCAGCAACTGTGCACTCTCAGCTAACTTGAGTGTCATGTATTTCTCTATGATGCCAAAGAACTATGACAGATTATGGGATTTTTATGTCTTATAGTATAGAATTTAATCGCTCTTCAAAAAGGTTTTTATAGATTGCATTTTACATTATGCATTAATATAGCCCCAAAATTGTATTCATTTGAAAAAATGTTACAAATCTTGACTCCAATTTTGGTACAGGTTGAGATGAGTCATTTTATGCTTTAACCCTGCTCCCTTAGGCACTGTGAAAAAAACTTCAAAGAAAAATTTAAATAAGTTCCGAAACATAGCTTTACTTCCCATTAATACATATTTTCCTTAACGTTTAAAATTCGTCAGCAAGCTCCTTGTGGGCAGAGAATAGGTTCATATTCTTTGACTCACCCAGAGTAACTAGAATACCACCTCAATGCATCTTTAACTAAACTAGGCATGTTATATTCCAAGATAATATTCATGAACACCCATGCTCTCCAGTCCCAAAGTATCTCTGTTTACCTGTTGTGTGGCTTAAAATCCAATGACCTGCACTTCTTGGAAAGACATAAAGCTTCAAGGAAGACAAAGACAAGCAACTCTGAGTAGAAACTTAATCTAATTCCAATCCATCATCAGCATAATAATTATGCTCTACTATAACTGGTCCTCTGCACCTGCAGTTTCCACATCGCAGAGTTCTGCATCCACCCAACTGCCAATCCAAAATATTTAAGAAAAAAAAACAATAAAGGTTTAAAGAATTATTTACAATAATGAAAAATAGTACAAATAAAAACAATATAATGTAACAACTTTTTACATATCATTTAAATTGTATTGGGTATTATAAGCAATTAGAGATGACTTAAAGTATATGGGAGGGTGTTTATAGGTTATATGCAAATAGCATGCCACTTTATATAAGGAACTTGGACATCTATACATTTTGGTATCTGCAGGGGCCCTGGAACAAACAAATCCTCCAAGAACACAGAGGGGCGACTATATTTTCTTGGCATTACAATGCTAGTGTGTTAAGCATTTTATCTAACTGCTCCGTATGAACCTTCAAGGCAAACACATTTTATAGATGAGGGCAGTATGGTTTAGAGAAGATAAAGCAAGTTAGCTGAAGACAAACAACTGTAAACTATTCAAATCCAGGCGTTCTAAGTACCTTCCACTAGTGAGGATATTTCTGGCTACAAGTAAATAAAAATCAGATTCACTCTCAATCCAGAGCTAGGGCAAGGGTAAAGTTAGGCGCCTAGAGCACAAATTTAACATTCACCTCAAGTTCTCACTGTTGTTCTGTCCTGACCTATTCTTTTCCATCCTACTCTGCCCCAGGAGGTTGATCTGTAAGGATCACATCAGAGCTTCCTTCCCCTCTCACTTCCCTATGGGATGGGTTTTTCTGTTGGATCTCAGCAGGAAATCAGAAAAAGCAGGAGAGAGACCTGTCTTCAAGGTAGCCTTGGTTGCTTTCCTTTACAAATTTCCCCAGTCTTTATCATATCATATTTAGTACATAAGGGCCACAGAATAATATATGTTTTATGTTAAGACAGCTGGGTAGAGACACGTGTTTAAAAACCAATGTTAGCCTGCAGATACTGAAATCTCTTACGATATACTTCAGATAATATTATAAATATTACTAATATTCTCTTCAGTTAAATTCACTCAACACTTACTTGGTAATTATTTACTGAAACTCTGAATGACTTTCCATTCTGCTTAATATAAAATTCCATATCCTAAAGTGACATATGATCTTCTACAATCTGACTCCTGACTGCCAGTTGACAGTTGAGGTTGTTCTCCATCATTCAGTCTTTAACTGTCTGCAGTCCAAGGCATAATGGACTTCTAATATCTTTAAGGGTGCCAAACTCTTTTGACTTGAGGCTTTCTTTACAAACAATCCCTCTGCCACGAATTATTTCCCCTAACTTTATTCAGCGGAACAGTTTCTACTATCATATATTTCTTTAGAAGGGCTAAATAAATGAACAATAGTAAAGTATTTAGCTAGTTCTTGGCAAATAACATTCATGCTAGCTATTATTAATTGTCAAGCCTTGTGCTAAGTGTGGGTCATTTCAAAATTAAGAAGATGGCCAGGCATGGTGGCTCATGCCTGTAATTCCAGCACTTTGGGAAGCTGAAGCAGGCAGATCACCTGTGGTCGGGAGTTCAAGACCAGCCTGGCCAACATAGTGAGACCGTCTCTACTAAAAATACAAAAATTAGCCAGACGTGGTGGCACATGACTGTAGGATCAGGTACGTGGGAGGCTGAGGCAGGAGAACTGCTTGAACCCCAGAGGCAGAGGTTGCAGTGAGCCAAGACAGCACCATTGCATTCTAGTCTGGTTGACAGAGTGAGACTCCATCTCAAAAAAAAAAAAAAAAAAAAAAAAATTGGCTGGGCACGGTGGCTCACGCCTGTAATCCCAGCACTTTGGGAGGCTGAGGTGGGTGGATCATGAAGTCAGGAGATCGAGACCAGCCTGGCCAATATGGTGAAACAGCATCTCTACTAAAAATACAAAAATTAGCTGGGCATGGTGGCGGGTGCCTGAAATCTCAGGCACTCAGGAGGCTGAGGCAGAAGAATCACTTGAATCGGGGAGGCCAAGGTTGCAGTGAGCCGAGATAGCACCACTGCACTCCAGCCTGAGTGACAGAGCGAGACTGTTTCAAAACAAAAAAAAAAAATTGAGAAGATAGGCATATGAATGTGTTGTTTTTATAGAGGTATTATTAATTATTATTGTATTGATTGGGAGGAAGTAAGCCAATTTCTCCTAGGGGATATCAGAAAGGCTTACCAAATGAAGAAGGAAACTTGTATGTTGTACTTAAAACCCCAGATCATATGTCTTCTATGTGCAACTACAGAGAATAAAATAAAAGGAAGTAAAATATTTTGAAAGGCCTATCAGAAACCATGCATCTTAAAAGTAAGTTCTGTTATTTCCAAGTGAAAAACATGTAAAGAAAGGTAGAGTGGGTGTAGGATAACGTCTGTTCAAGGAATTTTACCATCATTCTTGGCTGTTCCTGTATTTAGCATTTTTCATCTGGGAAGAAGACTGATGGCATCTTTCTTGAAGATTGTTAACCTTCTTCAAAAAGACTACAATGAGAGGTGCTATATAAATACACAGAAAAATAACTCAGGCATCTGAGCCCCTCCAGATCTCAGAGACGTGACAATGGAAGATTGACTTAGCAAAGCAGAAGCTTGGAGGGGAGAAGAAATCGAAGAGCCATCTGTCAGCTAAAAAGCTAGAAAAACAAATACAATAGCAAGTCACATAACCTCAGTCTTGGCCTTTCCTTTGGCTGATTAACTAAATGTAGAAAAACTGACCTATCTCATTTCTTTGAGTGCTTCAGAAAACAAAACACTTACTCCTCTTACTGGAAGAGCTTCATGTTGCAAATCGTAAGGTGATTATTCCTATAAATAAAATTTTAAAGCCCAATGTGTGCATTTAACGGGTGATTATCCAGAAACATTAAAGGGAGGGAAATGTCCTAGTTGGTGTCATTCACATCTTTCTGAGTCAATCTTTTCATTTATGGAAAATACCACTGTTTTGCATGGGCTTTCTCCCCCCAGGTCCCTGCCATTCGATTCGAAGACATCAACACACATGGGCAACCTTTACAACACACTTGCCCTCTCAGTTCTGTTTAATCCTCCTCTGCAATGAGATTTTCTTAACCTCCTCCATGATCCATGTCCATGAATACACTCTGAATCTTGCCATCCCTAAAACTACTCTATATCCCAAATAATTAATTCTAGTTGCTTAACTGATGTATTTTCAGCTTGATTGCTTCACCACTGCTGTTATATGCAATTGCATTTCCAATCTAGCGGCAACTGTTTTCTTACTCTCCATCTCCCTCTCCATCACCTTCTTCCTCTTCATTTACCCTCCATTTTCAGATTGGACTTTAAATCATCTCTAACCAATAACACTGATTCCACTGATCCTCTTATTTTCATTATCATCTGGCAAAACCTTTATAAAGAAAAAACAATGCCATCTTCTCACTTCTGTACTGTAGTGCTATAAACCGAATGATCTCTACAAAATTTGTATTTTGAAAGCTAGCATCTTATGTGACTGTACATAAAGATAGAACCTGTAGGAAGTAATTAAGATTAAGTGATTTCATAAGGATAGAACCTGTAGGAAGTAATTAAGGTTAAATGATTTCTGTACCCTGGTGCTATAAACCGAATATCTCTACAAAATTTGTATTTTGAAAGCTAGCATATTATGTGACTGTACATAAAGATAGAACCTGTAGGAAGTAATTAAGGTTAAATGATTTCATAAGGATGGGGTCCTAATTCTACATGATTGGTGGCTTTATAAGCGGAAGAGAGAGAAGAGTCTCTTTATTATATAGAAGACCATGGTTTATATATACCAAGGAAAGGCTATGTAAGTACATAGTGAGAGTCAGCTCTCTGCAAGCCAGGAAGAAAGCCCTGCTCTCAGACTTCAGCCTCCAGAAGTCTGAAAAAAAATAAGTTTCTGGTTTTTTAAGCCACCTAGTCTATGCTACTTTGTTATGGTAGCCCAAGCTGACTAACACATCTGGTACCCTAGCATTCTTGGGGGAAAAAGTCATAATACAAAGTTGATTAGTATGACTACAACTTCATGATTACTAACTGAAACCAGGCCTTCATCACAGACTAAAATGACTAATATGTTTATCTTATCAATCAATTTTATATAATGCACAGCAAACAAACATTGTTCATTCTTCCCAAATAGTCATAACCACTTTCCCCTCCCTGTTGTATTTGTTGCATAACTAGCTTTAGTGAATGCCCTCCTTATAACTTTGGGGTTCTTTCCCACTTAGAATCTGAGTGTGGATTTGCTACCTGAGTGTGGATGTGCTACCAATGAGATAATAGCATACTTGATGCAAGCCAAAGCTTAAAAAATGACATGTATGTTTTGTTTGTTTCTATGTTCACCTATGCTGGCTCCATAACAAAATAATGTAGACAGGGTGGCTTAAATGCCAGAAATTTATTTTCTCACAGTTCTGGAGGCTGGAAGTTTAAGATCAGAGCATATCATGGTCAGGTTCTGATGGAGGACCTCTTCCAGTTTGCTGATAGCCCCTGTCTCATGGTGTCTTCACATAACAGAGAGAATGAAAGAAATAGATAGCTTTCTGGTATCTCTTTTTCTAAAGATGTTAGTTCTGTCTGATCAAAGCCCCACTCTTATGATCTCATTTAATCTTAGTTACTTCCTTAAAAGTTTTATCTCTAAATATGGTCACATTGATGGTTGGGGGGGCTTTAATATATGAATTTAGGGGTGACACAAACATTCAGTCCATAACTGTTTTCTTTCCTGGAATACTGCCACTAGTATTAGAACAAGCCTTATCGAACTTGCTGTAGGACTATAGGAAACTTGCAGGGGAAGTGCATGGTCTTAGCTGAAGTCATTCTAGGTCAACCAGCTCATAATTCACCTGGCAGTTGACTACAGGCAGCAAGCCCAGCCCAAAATCAATGGAACTTAGTCCAGATACACTGAACTGCCTTGCCATCCACAAATGCAGGAGAAGTAATAAGTGGCTGCCAATTTGAGCCCCTAAGATTTGAGGTTGGTTGTTTGTTACTCAGCAATAGCTAACTGATAATGCCCCATCACTCTTAGAATACCACATATTCTTGTACAGAGAAAATAGAAGCCATCAAACAGAAATATCCCTTACTTTTTGCTGCCACGTTTACAAATTACTGAAAATGTATCAAATCTCTCCTCAACTTTTCCTTCAGTAAAAAAGAAAATGTATTTCCTCCTATCTAAAGCCAGCTGCTCCATTTGAATTCTGGAACTCTGGAGTCTCTGCATCTTCTTGTTTCCTTTACTTGCCACTCACTCAACAACCTATTGCAACTTGTCTTTTATCTCCTGTCAATAAGCCACAATGTCCCTAGATAAGATCACTAAGGAACACTTCATCATATTTTATTTTTCATTTTCTTGACCTCTCAGTACTTATTCCTCTGGCTTCATAATGCCATCCTTTCATGTTCATCCTCCCACCTCTCTGTCTATTTATTTCAAACTCTTTTCCTGGATCCTTTGCCTCCATCTGGATTTTAGATACTAGAGTTCCTCAAAGATTAGTCTTAAGACTTCTAATATAGTTACTTAGTGTTCTATCCTTAGGTGAGTTCTTCATCATTCATCACCTAATATTGAATACCTCTATATTTACATATCCCAGGCCACTTCTTTAAGCTCTAGATTATACATCTCCAGGACTTCTGGAGATATCTACATCCCAAACTCAACATGTACATGTCTCCTCTTGTGATCATCTCTGTTTTATTATACTAACCTGGCATTCTTCCAGTGTTACCCAGTTAAGTAAATGGCACAGCCATCTGTATTCAGTTTTGCAAGCCAGAATCATCATGTCACCTTGACAACTCCCTTCTCTTCTTCCAATTTCCATTTTCTCCCCCACCCCCAGATGTATGCAATGAATAGCTTATAAAGTTGACCTGATTCCCCAGAAGGGTCACTTTTCCTTGCCATATAAACTTTGGTAACCTCTATTTCTCCTTGCAGTGCTCATAAGAATTTAATTACATCTGTCTTTCCTCTAAAATGTTAACTGTATTTAAAGGGTGGGTCCGTGTTGATATCATTTATCATTCTATCTCCAACACTTAGTAAACTATCTTGAAATTTATAAATATTCAATAAATAAATATTAAAAAATGGTGGAATATTAATACTCATTTGTACATTTTAATCAGCCAAAGAGTGATTTATGTCCTCTCAGAGAAAATAGATTTTATAAGTATTTAAATATCTAAGGCAAAATGTGTTCATGTGGGTTTATCTCTTCCTAGATGGTGTACAGATGTTCTGTGTGGTTAAGAATAATTGCAAGAAAAAATGTTTGGCTACATAAGATTCTACAAGAAAATTATAAGAGCGAACTATGTGGTGAAATTGGTGGGTTATTTTGAGATCAATTTTAATGAGAAGGAGAAAGTACATTGTTCTACAGTATGGCTAAAAAAAAAATAGATGGGCTTTGGAAGCTGATGTTCAAGTGACAAATTCACCATTTAACCTTGGAGATTTACCATCTAATAGCCCCTTTTACTCACATAAAAATATTTTAAGTCTAACCATATATTATAACCACTGGTTTAACTTTTGAAAAATAGAGAAAATGAGTGTCAAACCCAGAGCTTATCAAATGAGAAACAGAATGTGTATGAGTGCTTTAAAACTCCAAAATCTAATGTGTTGCTCAGCAAAGATGAAAGGACATGTATGTAGAAAAAGACAGTAGCAATAAGCAATACCTTCCTCATGGGATTGTTAAAAATATCAAGTGATTGGGAGGGTGAGGCAGTCGGATCACAAGGTCAGGAGTTTCAGACCAGCCTGACCAACATGGTGAAACCCCATCTGTACTAAAAATACAAAAATTAGCCCGACGTGGTGGTACACGCCTGTAGTCCCAGCTACTCAGGAGGCTGAGTCAGGAGAGTCACTTAAACCCGGGAGGTAGAGGTTGCAGTGAGCCGAGGCTATGCCACAGCACTCCAGCCTGGGTAACAGCGAGATTCTGTCTCAAAAAACAACAACAAAAAAATATATAGTAAGTGAGATAATATGGGCGAATACTAGCAGAGGGTTCAGAAATATTAGTTTCCTATCCTGTCTTTTTCCCAGGATACTGGGAGCAGTAAGAAAAATGCTTTTAGAATAGTGATGTGGAAAAAAGAAGTCCTAAGTTCAAATTCTACCTCTGTTCTTCACTAGCTGAACAAATATGGGCAAGTCATGCATTTTCTTTAAGCCTGAGTTGTCTGTCTGCTTAACATGAGTAATAATTAATATATATTCATTCAGTTAGATAACATACACTCAAATTATTGAAGAAATAAACAATTCAATCAGATCATTCATTGGATATTTCTTGAGCATTTACTCTATGCATAGTACTCTTCTAGGAATTGCAGAAATAAAAATGAAGAAAAAATGGTGAACATGGTCTCTATCCTTCTGATACTTAAGAACTATCAGTAAATATTTTTAAAAGAAATAAAAAGATAAATGATAAAGAAATTGTGATACATACCCTACATATAAGTTATTGAGATAGAAAAATAGAAAATACGGGAACTTCTTCGATATAGAGTGATCAAGAATGACCGCTTTCAGCAAGTTATTTTTGCTCTGAGATCAAGCTAAGGGCTAGAAGAGAGTAGAGTGTGTTAAGGTGGAAAATAGGGCTTTGGACTCAGGTTATATTTTATATTGAAATCTAGAAGAATAGAAGCACTCAAATAGCAAACAGATTCAAGTATTTGGCATTTTGTTAACTCTAATGAGATCAGGGTAACTGCCTCAGCCAAGTTTGAGAAAAGAAGCAGATTTTGCCCTTTGCAGTAATAAGATATGCCAACACCACCTCCTGAATTTGATTTTCACCTTTTAACAAGAATGTTTTAGACTCTTTTAATCATCAGTAGTAACCAGAGACCTTTCACATTCACATTGTGTTCATTTTATTTACCAAATGTATATCAGCAATGTTTAGTGGCATCCAACTAATCTGAAAAGAGTATTGTAGATTCTATCACAAATGTTACAGATGCCAAGATTTAATAGAAAATTAGGTTAGTTATGTCCAGGCAACATTGCCTAAGGCACAGACCTCTCTATATTCTCTAAGATGTATTTTGTCTCTAACAACAAGAAACACATATGTACATGTTTATGCAAGTAAACATTTTCATTATTCATTGTCCTCATCGACTGGTTCACAAAAAGACATAGGGGCGGTCCATAGAAGAAGGAACTGTTTAGAATCTCACTTGCTTTTCTGCATTCTAACAGTAGAAATTTGAAATTCATGTTGGAGGCTTTCAGATCCCCAAGTGTTCTGAGTCATCTTTTTCTGTTTCATAAAGAGACAGAATTTTAATCAGGGAGTCTCTATAGATGCAGCAGCCTTGCCAGAACTAGAGAACACGCCTTTGTTATGTCACCCTACCCCAGGGAGAAGAATAAAGAACATTCTAATTTATAGAACAAGTATATGTAGACACTGGTCTTATCGCAATTGTTCAAAACCTCTAGAAGTTATTCCAAAATTCAATCGAACTAAAGCATTAAAATATAAATCCACAAATATTATTATAGCAAAAAATATGTATAATATTAAGCCTATCGCTTCTATTAAGCCCAAAATAATTTTCCTATAATTTTTATTTGTTCATATAATGTGTAGTTTGTACCTTTGTTCATGTACTCATTCATCCATTCATTCTTGCAACAAATATAAATTTTTGTGCCAACTGTGTGCCAGGAATTGTGGTAGTCACTGGGGTTTCAACACTGAGTGATGGAGACATGTTGATTATCCTTGAGGAACTTGAGGAGCTTACTAGAGGAGGGACCAGCTGTCAAACAAACAATTCAATGAGATAGTTAATTACAGATGCTTTATATCCTTTGGGGAAGCATGCATTTTTTTCTTTTTTTATCTTTTTTTTTTTTTTTTTTTTTTTGAAATTGACCTACTGATAGCAAGGAGCAGTTGTCAGAAAAAAGAAATCATTCTCTAAGGGAGAAATATTAAAACACTTAAGTGGGGAATCAATAAGAACTTGCTAGGCAAAAATGAATTGGGGTAAAGGAAGGGAGATTTGTGGGCCAACCAAAGGACTGACTTTGTGAAGATGTCTCTGCAAGGAGACAAAGGACTCTGCAAATTGAAGGAATTCCTTTGCATCTGAAACTTGGTGAGCAAGGGTGATCATCTCAAAATATACTGAGCTATATAAGGCATGTTAAGAAATTTATATCCTTATTCAAAAGACAATAAGAAGCCAATAAACATTTTAAAATACAGCAGCTACATAAAACCTACATATATTTTTTAAAAGATCACTCCGAATGCTGGGTGAAGGATAAATATGGATACATATTCTGTGCTAAAAAAAAACATTGCTTAAACATTTAAGGTGCAATAAAATCATTTTAAATTTTAAAATAACACCAAGAGAAGGGGTATTCTAGGTGTTACAAAAACAAGTTTCCAGAAAATAATGTTAACAAGATGGTAGAATAGGAAGTTTCATCTCCCATCCACCAACAGACACACACATTTGGCAAACACCATAGACAAGAGTACATTCGTGGGAGCCGCAGAGTCTAGCCACAGAGTGTAGTATCCCAGTGAGACAAAAAAAAAAAAAAATTCTATGAGTAGACACACTAAAGACGATAATAGAGCAGTTTCATATTATGTGCATTACCCTTCCTCCAAAGTAGCACAGCTCAGTGCCAAGAGAGGCACCCTCAGCCTGCAATTTCTCACATGGGGAGAAGTGGGAGAAAAGTAAGCATTAGGCTTCCCCAGTCTTGTGGGACACTGCCCAGGAGGCCTGCTTCTGTTTCATCCCACCAGAGCACTGAGAGGTCAGCACAACTAAATCATCTGGGGACAGCTAAAAGCAGGGAAATGACAAGGGAGCATATAGCAACCATTAGGCAGTTCTCGAGAGCCAGCTGCAAATCCTGCTAACCTGCTACCGGATTCCCCCAAGTGGCCCACCCACGATCCCTGCAATATGACTCGCCTGAGGAACCCTCTCAACCAGCCAACACATGCCTCCAGCACTCTATGTACTTGCTCACCCACTCCTGCATTGTTGGCACCCCATATGTTTCTATTAATGGCCCACATGAGCTTTTGTAGGCAGTACATGGATCTCAACAGCAGGTTCAGATCTTAGCAGCTAGCTTTACCCTGTTGGTTTTGGGAGGGGGCAAACTATGGTGAATGTTTTAAGGCACTGTCCTAGAAAAATAAATGAGAGGGTCTAAGAACCATCCTGGCTTTGCAGGATCAAGAGAAGACACATAATCCTCAGATTTTCCCACTCAAATATAACAAGACAAGCGGAGCAGGAACCTATTCATAGTAAAGGCCTTGGAGGCCACTAACATCTCTAAGCAGGTTGACTGGTGAAGGTCTTTCTCTTCAAAGGTAGTCAGTAAAGACTAGAGAAAGGAACTGCTTCCTCAAGTGCAAAAACAGCAATGCAAGACTTAGAGGAACATGAAGAGTCAAGGAGTTATAATAACATGAAAGAAACAAAATCAAGCTCTAGTGACTTACCCCAGACAAATAGACATCTATGAATTGCCTAACAATTCAAAACAATCTTTATAAATAAGTTCAGTGAGCTCCAAAAGAACAGAGAGAGCAATTAACAATATCAAGAGGACAGTGCATGAACAAAATGGCAAAGTCAATAAAGAGATATAAATCATTATTTTAAAACCCAGAAATTATGTATTGAAGAATTCAATGTTTGAAGTAAAAAGTTCAAAAGAGAGACACAAGAGCAGAATCAATCAAATGAAAAAGAGAGTCAATAAATTCAAAGACAGATCATTTGAAATTATATAGTCAGAGGGGAAAAAAAAGAAAAAGAATGAAAAAGAATGAAGAAAGCCTATATGACTCATGGGAAACAATGACTTAAACCAATATACACAGAAGGAGTCCCAGAAGAAGCCGAGAAAGATGGGACAGAAAGCTTATTTAAAGAAATAAGACAGAAAGTCTTCCAAATCTGAAGAGGGAAATGAGCATCCCTTTATGAACACTCGTGATGCTTAAGGAACTCCAAATAGGTTAAAGATAAAGAGGACTTCATTGTGACACATTGTAATAAAATTATCAAAGATCAACAACAAAGAGAATGTTGAAAATAGCAAGAGAAAAGTTACTTATCAAATATAAAGGAACCTACATAAAATTATCAGGAGATTTCAACAGAAACCTAGCAGGATAGCAGAGTAGGAAAATATATCCAAAGTGCTAAAGGAAAAAAAAAAGCCAACCAAGAATGTTATACATTGTGAAGTTGTCCCTTAGAAATAAAGGAGAAAGATATGGACTTTTTCAGACAAAAGAAAAAGAGGGAGTTCATCAGCACTAGATCTAGCGTATGTAAAAAACGCTGAGTTCTTCAAGCTGAAATGAAAAGACTCAAATCAGCACCATGAAAACATATTAAGGTTAAAAGCTCACTGGTAAAGGTAACTATATAGTAAAATGAATCATGTTGTAGTGTTTTAATGATGGTTTATATTTTAAGCTTAACTCTAATATAAGATTGAAAGACAAAAGTGTTTAAAACAACTATGGTAACAACAATGTGTTAATGGATACGAATATGAAAATATGTAAATTGTGACATCAATAACATAATACATGAGGGAGGAAGTAAAGTTACAGACAATCAGACAATCAGGGAGGTGTTGTATGTGATCAAAATTTTGTTGTCATCAGACTAAAATACACTTGTATAAATAAAAAAGTGACATATAAGCTTCATGATAATCATAGAGAAAACTTGAAGTAGATACACAAAATATAAAGAAATAAATCAAAGCACACCACAACAAAAAAACTTATCAAATCATAAAATAAGTCAGTAAGAGAGAAAGAAAAGAACAAAAGAAACACAAAACAGAAAACAAGAAAAAAATGGCAATGAACAAAATGGCAATATATAGGCTCTATTACTTACCTATCAATAATTATTTTAAATGTAAATATATTAAATTATCCAATCAAAAGTAAAGATAGGCTGGGCACCGTGGCTTATGCCTGTAATCTCAACACTTTGGGAGCCCAAGGCAGGCGGATCATAAGGTCAAGAGTTAGAGACCATCCTGGCCAACATGGTGAAACCCTGTCTCTACTAAAAAATACAAAAATCAGCTGGGTGTTGTGGCACATCCCTGTAGTCCCAGCTACTCTGGAGGCTGAGGCAGGAGAATCATTTGAACCCAGGAAGTGAAGGTTTCAGTGAGCCAAGCTGAGATCACATCATTGCACTCCAGCCTGGTGACAGAATGAGACTCCACCTAGAAAAAAAAAGAAAAAAGAGAAAAGGTAACTGAATGGATTAAATATTGAAACCCAACTATATGCTGCCTAGAAGAAACTCACTTCACCCTATGAGACACATAAGCTAAAAGTGTAAAGAATGGAAAAAGATATTCCATGCAAATGAAAACCGAAGGAAAACAAGGTAGCTATATTTATATCAAGCAAAATAAACTACACATCAAAAATACTAAAAGAGACAAGGGCATTATATAATGACTACGGAGTTAACTCTTCAAAAGTTTGTAACAATAGTAAATATATGCACACACATTGGTGTATTTAAATA
Source organism: Homo sapiens (assembly GCF_000001405.40). Lineage (NCBI taxonomy): Eukaryota > Metazoa > Chordata > Mammalia > Primates > Hominidae > Homo > Homo sapiens. The sequence continues at coordinate 150,761 of NW_003315919.1, read as the reverse complement.
TATAAAGCAAAAATTAACATATTTGAAAGGAAAAATTTAAAGTGATACGATAATAGTGGGGAACTTCAGTCCCCACTTTTAAAAATGGATAGATCATCCAGACAGAAAATCAATAAGAAAACATCAAATTTGAACTATACTTTAGACCAAATGAACCTAACAGACATAAAGAACATTCCATTAAACTTCAAAAAAAAATCATCCTTTTCTTAGGGCCACATGGAATATTTTCCAGTATAGATCATATATTAGGACACAAAAGAACTTTTAACAAATTTAATAAGATTGAAATTTTATCAAGTTTTTTTTTCTGACTGCGATAGTATGAAACTAGAAATCAATATCATGGGTAATCTTAAAAAAACTCACAATTATGTGGAAATTAAACAAGACAGTTCTGACCAATCAATGTGTCAAAGAAGAAATCAAAGGAGGAATCAAAAACTATCTTGAGACAAACAAAAATGAAAACAAAGTATACCAAAGCTATGGAATGTGGCAAATGCAGTTATTTGATGGAATTTTATAGCAATAAATGCCTACATTAAAAAAGTAAGTATCTCTAATAAATAATCTACCATTATACTTCAAGGAACTAGAAAAAGAACAAACTCAGACCAAAGTGGGCATATGGAAGAAAGTGATAAATACTAGAACAGATACAAATAAAATAGAGATAGGGAAACAATAAAAAAAAACAAAATTAAGAATTAGATTCTTTAAAAGTTAAACAAAATTGACAAACCTCTAACTAGGCTAAGAAAAAAGACAGAAGAATTAGTTAAATATAATTATAAATGAAAGAGGAGGCATTACAACTGATACTATAGAAATAAAAAGAATCATAAGAGGATACTATGAATAATTATATGCCAATAAGTTGGATTACCTAGAAGAAATGGATAAATGCCTAGAAACACACACCTAGCAAGACTGAACAATGAATAAATAGAAAATCTGAACCAACCTATCATAAAGAAGAAGGTTAAGTTAGTAATCAAAACACCCCAGCAAAGAAAAGCCCAGAATAAGATGACTTAACTAGGGAATTTTACCAAACATTTATAGAAGGCTAATGCCAACCTTCTCAAACTCTTCCAAAACATTAAAGAAGAGAGGACATTTCAAACTTACCTTATTAGACCAATATTATTGTTACAGGAAAGCCAAATAAGGACACCACAAGAAAAGAAATACATGCCAAAATTGCTAGTAGCCATTGATGTAAAAATCATCAACAAAATACTCCCATACCAAATTCAATAGTGCATGAAAAGAATCATATCATAATCAAGTATGAGTTACTTGTGGGATAAGGATGGTTCAACATATGCAAATCAATAAATACACACCACATTAACAGAATTAAGTATAGAAATCATGGTCATCTAAAAGAAGCAGAAAAAACACTAGAAAAAATTAAATGTTCATTGATGATTAAAACTCTTAGGTAGAAAAAAAAATGTGGCTGAGTGTGGTGGCTTATGCCTGTAATTGTAGACCTTTGGGAGGCTGAGACAGGAGGATTTCTTGAGGCCAGGAATTCAAAACAAGCCTGGGCAACATAGCAAGAACTTGTCTGTGTGTGTGTGTGTGTGTGTGTGTGTGTGTGTGTATGTATATGTATATATACATACATATATATATATATATATATATATATATATATATATATATATGGCAAGCCCACAGCTAACATCATACTCAATGGTCAAAAGCTGAAAGCATTTTCTCTAAGATTAGGAATAAATTTAGATTCCCACTCTTGTCATTCCTATTAAGCATAGTACTGGAAATCTTATCTAGCCATTAGGACCTATAACAAAAAGTCTAGCACTTAGGCAAGAAACAGAAATAAAAATCATTCAGTTTAGAAAGAAAGAAAGAAAATTATCTCTTTATGACATAACATTATATGTAGAAAACATAAAGCTTCCTCCAAAAAATATTAGAACTAGTAAACAAATTGAGGAAAGTTGCAAGATATAAAATCAACACACAAAAATTAGTTGCATTTTTATACACAAACAACAAACTGAAAAAAAAATCAAGAAAACAGTGTAATTTAAAATAGCAGCAAAAAATTTAAAATACTTAGGCATAAATTTAACCAGGGAGGTGAAAGTTGTGTACACTGAAAACTACAAAACATCAATGAAGAAATTGAAGTAGGCACAAATTAACAAAAAGATATTTCATGTTCATAGATCAGAAGAATTTGTATTGTTAAAATTTCTGTATGACACAAAACAGTCTCCACATTCAGTGCAATTGCTATCAGTATTCCAATGATATTATCACCTTTCCTGATTTCAAATTATGTTACAAAGCTATAGTAATCAAAAGTGTATGGTACTAACATTAAAGAAAAAAAACCAGATAGACCAATACATTAGAATGGAGAGCCCAGAAATAAATAAATATGACCTATGCATATAAGGTTTTTACAAGGGTACTAAGAACATACAATGGGGAAAGAAAAATCTGTTAAATAAATGGTAATAAGAAAACTGGATGGCCACAGGCAAAAAAAAAGAAAAAAAAAAAAGAAAAAAATTGAACCCTTATCTAATACCATATACAAAAATCAAATCAAATTGATTTAAATACTTAAACATTAGAACTGAAACCACAAAACTCATAGAAGTAACCATAGGAAAAATGTTCCTTGACATTGGCAATGTTTTTTTGGATGTGACTCAAAAAAGGAAATGGGGCCAGACGCGGTGGCTCACACCTGTAATCCCAGCACTTTGGGAGTCCGAGGCGGGTGGATCACGAGGTCAGGAGCTCGAGACCATCCTGGCTAACACAGTGAAACCCGTCTCCAGTAAAAATACAAAAAATTCTCTGGGTGTGGTATATGAAACATATATAAATAAAACATCCTTTTAATATAAAACATATATATAAATAAAACATTATCTTTTATATATAAAATAATGGCTATTGTTATGAAACTATATATATATACATATATATAAAATGTTGGCAAGGATGTGGGAGAAAAGGAAACCCTTGTTTACTGTTGGGAATGTAACTTGGTGCAGTAATTACAAAAAACAGTTTGAAGCTTCCTCACAAAATTAGTAGATCTACCATATAATCCAGTAATCCCATTTCTGGATATATAACCAAAGGAATTGACATTAGGATCCTGAAGACATATCTGCATTCCTATGTTCATTGTAACAGTATATTTTTATTCCTTATTCTTACTCTTATTCTTATTATTGAGCTGGAGTCTCACAGTGTTGCCCAGGCTGGAATGCAGTGGTATGATCTTGACTCACTGCAATCTCCACCTCCGGGGTTCAAGTGATTCTCCTGCCTCAGGCTCCCAAGTAGCTGGGATTACAGATGGATGCCCAGCTGATTTTTGTAGTTTTAGTAGAGATGGGGTTTCATTTTGTTGGCCAGGCTGGTCTCAAATTCCTGGCCTCAAGTGATCTGTCCACCTCGGCCTTCCAAAGTGCTAGGATTACAGGCATGAGCCACCTTGTCTGTGCCTCACTGTAGCATTATTTATAAAAGCTAGAATATGGAAACAACAGATGAATTTATCAAGAGATGAATGAATATAGAAATTGTGTTATGTATGTATATTAGAATATTATTCAGCCTCAAAAAAGAAGGAAATCCTGCTATTTACAACACATATAGACCTGGAGGACATTAAGTGAAATAAGCTAGAAAAATACTGCGTGTTCTAAATTATATGTGGAATCAAAAGTAGTTAAATTCATGGAAACAGGCAGTAGAATAGTGGTTGCCAGGGGCTGCCAAGAAGGAAAAATGGAGAGGTGATCTTTTTTTTTTTTTTTTAAGGAGACTTGTTCTGTCACCCAGGCTGGAGTGCAATGTGCAATGGCACAATCTTGGCTCACTGCAATCCCTGCCTCCCCGGTTCAAGCACTTCCCGTGCCTCAGCCTCCCAAGTAGCTGGGATTACAGGCATCTGCCACCAAGCCCGGCTAATTTTTGTGTTTTTAGCAGAGACAGGGTTTTGCCATGTTGGCCAGGCTGGTCTCAAACTCCTGACCTCGGGTGATCCGCCTGCCTCGGCTTCCCAAAGTGCTGGGATTACAGACGTGAGCCACTGCCCGGCCAAGAGGTGATGTTTTAAGGGTACTAATTTTCAGTTATACAAGATAAATAAGTTCTGGAGATACATCATACTACCTACAGCTAATAATACTATATCATATATTTAAAATTGCTAAGTGGGTATGTGGGTATGTTAACTCTTACCCAAACAAACAAAATAAACAAAACAAAAATAACTATAAAAGGAGTAGGAGGAGGTAAAGGAAATTTTTAAGTTGTTATTAGTGGTGATAGGGATGGGTATATACTTATCCCCAAACTCATCAAGATGTGTGTATATTAAATGTGTACAGCTTTTTATATGTCAGTTTTATCTCAATAAAGTGGTTTCAAAAAACCAAAAATGAAACAAATTCCCAATCCCAATTCCAAACCAGTCATTCACATAGCAAATCTGTATGCTATTTATGATTTTTTAAAAATGAAACACAAATATTTCACCTAATTTGTTTGACCTGTATTTATAACAGCACTTCTCAAATCATTGTCATCAGAACAGCAACATAAACATGAAGTGGGACCTTGGAAGAAACAGAAATTCTCTGGTCTAACACCATACCTACTGAATCAAGCCTTCCAACTTATCTTATTCTGATGCAGATTCAAGTTTGAGAACTGCTAAGTGTTGAGAATAACTGATTTATACAAATGACAGAAGCAAATACTAATGAATTTTTCTAGACAGCGTTGTTGGTTAAATTCTAACAATTATTATTCTTTAGATGTTAATAGACATTAAAGTTGGAGGGACTTCATGTCTGTTTAAAATGACTCATTCTACAGATGGCACACTGAGGCTCAGGGAGGGTGACCTTGCTTTGATCACACAGTGTTTCAGGGCAAAGACTGAGATCATACGATACCTGGTATTCAGTGTTTGTCACTTAGTATGACTCTGGGTCATTTAACTTTCTGGACTCAATTGCTTCATCTATAAGTAAAGATAGTAAGAGTGTACATTTATTTCCTGTTGTGTTCTGAGGATTAAGTAATAGTGAAGCATATTACCCATGGACTTGCACACAGTAAAAGAACTCAGTAAACGGTAGGAATTTATTGGTTCAAAGATATTGTCTCCCTCATATTTGATGATTCTTTGAGTGGAATGTCTTATAAATGAGTGTGTAGTAATGATTTTACTTTTTTTCAGAATAGTTGTTACTAAATCAATGGTGTCATGTACAACAAGTGATGAAACCTTAAAATGGGGTAAATATCCCATTATTGCCTTTGCTATGATTTCAATTCCAATGTTCAAGTCTCTTTGTGACTAGGTTTAATTCCATTGTTATGCAAGACCAAATGGCAACATCGTGGGAGATTGTTGAACAGGCCAACTCTTTGTTGCCTTAAATCCTGTACATCAGTTGTTCCCTCTGTCTGATAGGCTCTTTCCCCACATAGACATAGAGCTGGTTTCTTCAAATTATCCCACTTCTGTTTGAATGTTCACCTCCTTGTAAAAGAATTTCCCAAACAATCATTCTATAACAGTCACAATAGGCATTCTATTTTATTTTCATTATTGAACAAACATCTTTTTGTCATGTCTAATTTTGTTGTGTTGTTTTGCCTATTATCCACCTATTCCATTGGAACGTAAGGTCCCTAAGAGTTCAAAGCCATAAACCCAGTAAACCAAACAATAAGAACTTAATAAGTATTTCTTGAATGACAAAGGTAAGGTTAGATCAGGGGTTTTACCAGGACATTGATAAATTTGCCACATAATGAAGAAGTTAGTGTGGCTATAATTACTAGTCTCCAACAAGAGTGATTATAACAAAAGTTTTATTGAATGATCACTCTATCAGACAATATGGTAAACATTTTATGTACATAATGTTGATTGTGAAGTTATTAATTCCATTTTATAGATGAAGAACCTGCGTAGGCTTGTGAAATAAGTTGCCCAAGTTTACAAATCAAGAAGGGACATCTTCATCTTCAATCAAGGCAACCAAACCCCTACAGAACCTATGCTCTTGTCCTATGCATTACAATTACTTCCAAAATGCAAACAAAAGCAGAAGTAATAATTAAGATAGGCAGTGAGAAGGGAAGAGGCCGGAAGCTTGTGCTGCAAAGTACTTACTCTTGAAACAGAAAGATCCTGCCAAGAATTGTAAAAAACAGTAGCCACTGACATCTGGGAACTATGTAATGCTCACAGCTAGCCTCCAAAGTTACAACAAGTGGGCCTGACAATCACAGCTAGATGATGTTTTTCTCCCGCTCACCGTAAAAAAACTCATAAAACATCAAGAAGTCATTCTGAGATCATTAGAAACTGATTCAAAAACAATATCTCAGCACATCACTTAACACTTCACATAACAGCAAGTATCTTCCACTCTCAGCCAAAATGAAGGATTGCTGCTTCTTTACCAATTAAACTTTATTATCTTACTGATCTCCCCTTCCTATAGATGGGGTATATTAAAATATTCAATTGTAGAATTGCCCCCATTTTGACAGAACAAATGTAGAGCAAACCCCTGCTTCCTTAGACACCTCTCCAAATTACCTAATCAAAACCCAAATTCTTAAACAGATTTTTCTAACCTGTCTTGCTCAGATACCTTATGGTTCCCTATGGTGTGTTGAAGCAATAAAAAATAAAGCCACCTGTTCAAGCACAAGTCTGTTCCTGGTGATCTTTGGCTAAAGGGAATTGAAAATTGTGAGGGCTGATAGGGAAGTAGGAAGCTAAGGAAGTGTGTTGTATTTATCGGGTGATCACCTGAATCATTTGGAAGAGATGTCCTTTAAAAAAGGTTGTTCATTCTAAAAATCCCAATTTTGTTATGCTTTGTCAGATTCTTCAAAGATAGGTGTTAGAATTTTCGTTCTTGATTTAGATTTGCACTGACTGATTAATGCGTATTGAACTATCTTCTAACCGGGAAACCATTTTTAAGTCCTTTTGTAGAACCCTCCCATTGCCATATGAAATCTGTTAAAATATATCTCCATCCTACATTAAATACATGTTTTGTTCTAAATATTTGAAAATATTTTGTTATTTTACTTTTAAAAATAATTAAGAACTGAGAAATGTGTTTTATTTATGGTTGACTGACATTTTAAGCAATTATTTCACAAGCCTGAGAAATCTTTCACTGTTAGAAATTAATCCTGCAACAGGCTTTCAAACATAATGAAAATTTTATAAATATTAACTATGGCAGTTAATGAGGCTAACATAATATGTTGTTGAAATATTTATTAATTTTCATCTTGTGGTTTAAATTTCAAGTTGATGATTTTGTTTGTTCTCTAGGTCTTAGATATTTTCCTAGGCCCTTGAAAAGTACTTAGGCCCAAACATATTCTCTATTGTGCCTGACAGTTGAAGTTTCCCTTTATCTAGGTCCCCTTTAGATACTTCTTATTGTTAGAACTTAGTTGAAAAATAATATTTCTGACATCTACTTATTTAGTTATTAATTTATTTGTATTTAGAAAACACATTAAGTATACAGAAAAGTTGTAAGCAAATATGGGATACACTTTTTTCCCTGAACAACTTAAGAGCAAGCTGTTAACATAATACCCTACCACCCCCATCATTTTTTAGTGTGTATTAACTACCAACAAGGATATCTTCCTATTTAACTTCAATATAACTACCAACCTCAGGAAATTAACACTAACACATTACATTACTACCACCTAATCTTTGAATCTCGTTCAAATTTTCATGCTGCCGCAATAATAACTTTACTGGCACAATATTCAGTTTAGAACCATGCACAAACTTCTGTTAGGTCTCTTTAGTTCTTCAGTCTTTCATTGACTTTTATGAATTTGACACATTTAGAGATTACAGGGCAGTTATTTTGTAGACTTTCTCTGCAATTCAGTCTACGTGATGTTCCCTCTTCAACAGAATTAGGTCTGCCTCCATAGGACAGAGTAATACTGTGTTCTTTGCATTGCAACATATTGGGTAACATGAAAATTCAGTTTGTCTTGTCCTTGATAATGTACAATTTGATTGCATCACAAAGGTACTGTGTACTGGGTTTTTCCACTATAAAAATCATGAATTATCCCTTAGTGTTTCTATTGATTTTGTGCAAAAGAACTTTCAAATTATTTAAATATTCCATTCCTTATTATGTCTATACATTCATCTATCTAAACTACTAATTAATACTTATACCTCCAATTTCAAATAAATACCACCAAATCTCTTTTACTTTTCCCTTTACCATCTGTAATTCTGTCCTCCATCAATGAGAAGCCCAGCTCCCATTATCCCTAATGTGTATATTGATTTAGTCAACCACCCTATGTATGACTAATCACCAACCATTACACTGCCTCTGACTGGCTGGGTGGCCTCCTTACTCCAGTCAGACTCTAAACCCCAAGCTGTGTAAAACTTCTATACAGATAGACTCTTTCCCCTGGTCAGTTCCAACACCCTCCTCTGCTCCAACGAATGGCTTTAAGACTAACTCTGTCTTAATAATAATCCTAGGAATGAAAGAGAGGAAAGAGGATTGAAGAGAGGAAGGGAAGGAAAGAAGAAAGGCATGAAGAAGGGCTATCTGGCATGTTTGCATGTTTGCATTGCCATCAGTAGGAAGCTTTCTTTCCCTTCTGGAAATTTGTTACTCATCCTCCTTTCCACATCCCTTCCCCAAAATTAAATCGAAGACTAGCCTTACACACTCCACACTCCCTCATGAGAGGGCTATGAAATTAAGTGTGCATATCAAATAATTACAACCATATATGTATCTACATAATAATGGTTCTATGTTATTATAATTCATATCTCCATATACACCAGGGGAGGGTCTTAATTATAGAGTTACAACTCACTGACATATCATATTCAGTTTTAAAGTGTGCCAGAGATAATTTTCTGCTTCTTATAAAGTAACAAGTTTGGGAATAATGTAATTAGAGTGGATTCAAAATGGTTTTCATAAGAAAGTCACTTTCTGATATCCTTTCTTGAGTGGGAGAGGGTGGGAAGGTTTATAGCTTGAGCAATGCAAATTGTCATTACATTTTTATTACCTTCACAGCAACCTGTTATCCCTATATCGTAGGAGTTTGTCATCTATCTTGTTTCTTGTGGCGAGTTAAATAGGTTGAGGCCTTGAAAAGGATTCATAGAATATCAATGGTATATTTAATCTTTGAGCTTAATTTAATTCATTGATTATTTTAAATACAGATAAAATACCATATTGCATTTCTTATGATTGTTGCATTAAGTAATGTCTGTAAATGCTTACCAAGTACATAATAAGTGTTCACTAAATTGAAGTGATTTTCATTGTTAGCATAATTCTTTCACTACTAAGGGTAGTGGTGGAAATAATGGAACTTAGATCACTTGAATTTTACTTATATTCCTCTTATCAGATCATTGTCTCCCTGGTTTTCTATATTTTGTATTTCATGTCTTTCTTGCAATACAAAGTAGAAAATCTTGTATATAACATATAAGCTATAGAAAAAGATAATATATTTATCTTTAAAAAAAAGGCATTCAATCTTATAGCCCTTTTGTTGGGAGAAATGTCTTGTGTCTCTTGGATTTTTGCAGATTTTGTGAAGAAACATTGACAGCTTCTGTTCCAGACTACACTTTGAAAGCTGTTTGGATAGCAAACAGCCTTGGTAAATACAGAAAGCATATTCTTGTATGACAGAGAGAAGATTTATTTTTAGGCCTGGATTAAAAAAAATGATGTCTGCCGGGTGTCATGGCTCACGCCTGTAATCCCAGCACTTTGGGAGGCTGAAGCAGGTGGATCACTTGAGATCTGGAGTTTGAGGCCAGCCTGGCCCACATGGTGAAACCCCATCTCTACTAAAATACAAAAATTAGCCGGGCATGATGGCGGGCGCTTGTATTTCCAGGTATTCAAGAGGCTGAGGCAGGAGAATCGTTTGAAACCCGGAGACGGAGGTTGCAGTGAGCCAGGATGGCGCCACTGCACTCCAGCCTGGGCAACAGAGCAAGACTCCCCCTCAAAAAGAAAAAAAAAAAAAAAAAAAAAGATGTCTTTCTTTAGGGTAAAAGTTGGAAAGGTTTTCCAGTAGCTCTCTTATAAGATTGAGGCTCTCTAAAATTGAGATTCCTCAGCAGTCCTCCCTTGCATCACACTCATGGGACCAGGGAGGCAGAGGCAAAGGGAACTGATGGAAATATGAAGCCCACACTGCCTGCTGTGCCATGAGTAATAATAGTCTTTTGTCTCTCACCCAGGAGTATTGTGTCTTCTGCCAGCCTCCATAAAAGTGTGGGAGGCTAACTTGTAAGTCTGCAAGTAGTGTAATCTTATATCCTTCACAATTATTCACACTTTTGTATACCATTTTTGGTTCTTCATCTTATTCTCAATCCTCTCACAGTAAATTCACGAAGTTTCTCATATAATATCATGGAAAAATATCTTCAGTGGCTTTGCAAATTCTTTGTTATTTTAATTTCTCAAAAATCCATTTAATAAAAACCCAACAATCCAGCTGATAGGATATTTGAGGAATCTGCTTTAATACAACAGAAAAATACCTAAATAATTTCATAAAGAGAGAAACTCCTATTGAGCTAGGATTCCTACAACTTGTCTGCATTTCTGGCAGCTTTTTCTTTCTTATAAACTCACAATGTGGGGATGATCATCTGTCCATTCCAGATGCCCCAAGTGCCTTCTTTACAGGAATTACTTTTATTAAACAGTCAAGTGTCTAGGAGACCCACATTTTCAATGATGAGCTCTACAGAGCCTAAGAACAAACAATTTTTAGAATTCTCAGGTTCATCTTGTCTGCAATTAAGAGCTGGGGTGAAGCTTTCAGGAGAAAATTTTCACCTTCTAACAGGAGCAGAGAATTTATAGCCCACTATTTCTATTATTTCTATTAAGTGAAAAAAACTAGAGCACCATGAATTTAAAGCTGTTTTAATAAAATATTATAGCCTGACATAGGTTCTCAAATCATTGACGCACTTCATCCACCCAGGACCTTCAACAGACAAATTTCCAGCTTTTATAAATTCCTAATAACGTAACTATTCAGCGCCTCTCAGGATACAAATGAAAAATGTAGCTGCACAATAGATTTTACAAGGGCATGCTCACTAGCAAAGTGGAATTTGATTACATTAATGCAGACATAAGATAGCAATAGGTCTTGATAGGTCACATGTTTTATATGTCCATGAAAGGAGTCCCACATCCTTGGCAAGAGGGAGTTCTTTTCAAAATTATTTGCTGCCCTTGGTTGGGTGATGGCTAACATTCATTTAGTGATTCAACAAATTTATACTGAACTCATTCTGCATGGCCAGCACTAAGCCCTGAGGGCTACAGTGGTGTACAAGACAGATTCATATTCTGCTCTCTGAGTTCACAGCCGGGTAAACTACCAATTACCAGTTATAAAATAGTGGCTTTGATAAGTGCTATGCATGACAACGATGTGTGATAAGTATGAAGAGATGCTTTCTGTCAGGTTGTGAAGAGCTCCTGTTTGAGGTCAGTTGTTGTGGGCTTTGTTCTTTGAGAGGTTGCAGTCAACATGATTCTTTAAGACCAGAACCCTGCACACTTCTTGGGCTGTATTTCTTACATTCCTTTTCTATTTTAACCATATCCCATCTTACCTACTTCCAGCATAGTGGTCATATTTAATTTTTACAAAACCATTTTGCCACTTGCTGCCAACTATGTTCTTTATAAAGCAGACTTTGAGATGGAGGCTAGTGTTCAGAGGGGATGCTTAGGAGAACTTTGGAGATTAATACTTATGGCAGGTAAGGGAAGGAAGCAGGATTAGACAGAAATATTGAACTGTGATACAAAGTCAGCAAAGACTTTAGTCAATCACATGGGAGCTCTGAAGCTGAGGTAGTCCTTCAGCATTGCCTTGAGTTGGAGAGAAACTGTTAGCTCTCTGTACTTCCAAGTTGACCAGTCTTTGGATGCAGACTTCTCTAGGCAATCAATATGACCTTGAACACAGTTGTTCTCTTGAGTCAAGGCACTTCTCAAAGACAGCTGTCAGCTAAGGTCTGTCTGCTGGCAGCACTTCCAGCAACTAGGGGAAATAAATATTTTCCTTCATCTTCAAAGAACAAAGTGGGTGATTCATTGTGGCATCCACTACAGTTGTTATCTCTCTTGTGTACAGAGCTTCATATATCCTGTCTCCACTGTCTGAAACAGCTTTTTTTTGAGATGGAGTTTTGCTCTTGCTCCCTAGGCTGGAGTGCAATGGCGCGATCTCAGGTCACTGCAGCCTTGGCCTCCTGGGTTCAAGCGATTCTCCTGACTCAGCCTGAGTAGCCTGGATTACAGGCATACGCCACCATGCCTGGCTAATTTTTTGTATTTTTAGTACAGACAGGGTTTCTCCATGTTGGTCAGGCTGTTCTCGAACTCCCAGCCTCAGGTGATTCACCCACCTCGGCGTCCCAAAATGCTGGGATTACAGGCGTGAGGCACCACGCCCAGCCTGAAACAACTTTATACCATGTTTCTCTTAATATCCTTTACACAACATTTGAGTCTTAGAATAAATGTCTTCCTCTTGTAAATTTCTCTTGATAGACTCTTCTTAGAATTTTGTTCTTTTCTTTCTGCAGCACCAAATGTATAAGGGGATACAGAGAGTAAAAGGACAACTAAAATATACATTTTGTGCTACTTGAAGACATGAACCATTCATTATTGTATCACTAATGCTTATCATGGCTGCTACAAAGCAGAGTACTGATAAATATTGGTTGAATAAACGGTTAAATGAAAGGAAGGCAAGAAGGAAGAAAGGAAAGAAAGAAGGGAGGAAGGAAGGGAAGGAGTATGAGCTTTATAGATAATGAAGACATTACTTAAATTCCATGTGGTTTTGGATAAGTTATTTAGTTTCTTTGATTTTTCTCTCTTCCTTATGTAAAATGGGAATAACTCCTACCATTAAAAGATTGTAATGTAACTGTTACAGAACAGATGTCAAATAGATTTTGATTCTTTTTTTCTTCTCTCCTCACTGTCAATGCATGTATTGTAATGTCCAAGGTGTCTTCTATCTCTAACGTTCTGTAAGTCTACGTGAAGAATAATGGCTATTCTAATACCACAGAAAGATAAAATATTGTCAATTGGCCAGGCCAGGTGGCCCACACCTATAATCCCAGCACTTTGGGAGGCTGAGGAGGGCAGATTACCTGAGGTCAGGAGTTTGAGACCAGCCTGGCCAACATGGTGAAACCCAGTCTCTACTAAAAATACAAAAATTAGGCAGGTGTGGTGGCAGACACCTCTAATCCCAGCTACTTGGGAGGCTGAGGCAGGAGAATTGCTTGAGCCCGGGAGACGGAGGTTGCAGTGAGCCAAGATGGTGCCAATGCACTCTAGCCTGGGTGACAGAGCGAGACTCTGTCTCAAACAAACAAACAAACAACAAAATATATATATATATATATATATATATATATAGTCAGTTAAGAAATATTAGGAAGTGAATGTAGCTGAGGCCAGATTTCATGTGAGGTCTGATATTAATTATAAAGAAGCAAGCACTTTCATGTGTTGCAGTGATGAAAATCAGAGGGAAAGAGGAAATTCAACATTTGGTCTCACGTAATCTGTGTAAAATTTCCCTCCCTGGGCCGAGCCAAGATACTACCTGACTCCCATGACATGGAGAACACCATTTTGTTGATAAACTATTATAAGATTTCCAAATTAAACTTTATTTTCTTGCTTCCATCATGTGTGTGTCTCTGTGCAGGGGACCTAGAGGGACATAGCTACTGGAGGCAAGAAGGGTCTGGTATCGGGGACAATTTAACTTCTAGTCTTAGTAATAATTCTGCCTCTTTAGCTCTGGTTTCGTCCTATCCTTAGGTTAGGAACAGCCTCCTTTCTATCCGCTACCTAACACTTCACCTGGAGATGCCACCATTTCTCAGAATTTTGTAGCTAGGGCTCAGCCAGTTTCACTGAATGTCAGTGAATGACCAAAATACATCTCTGGCTTTTCTTGTCTGTCGTGTTCTGCTTCAGCTATCTTCAGAACAGCTGTCCTCGGGCTCAGCCCATCCAGTCTCTGCACATGCCTAGTCCAAAAGATTAATGGTAGAGCAGCTCTTCCCAGCAGCGAGGCCGGCTGTGTTCCACGATTTGGTCAAGACTCATTTTTCTTTCTCTTGGATGACCGTGGGTACTGTGGGTGATAGTAACAAGGCTGCTCAAGAAGCCAGATACAATCCAAGGTCCGGATAATCCCTGTGGGATAAGCTATCCATGAAGCTTTCCCTGACACAGCAGCCCAGATGATCTCTATTTCAGTAAACTCCTCAAAGTTGTCGCTTCAGCTTCCTTTGTATATGATTATATAATTCAGCATTAACGTTTAATAAGTTGCCTACAAAATAAAGTAGAAAAATACTTGCCCTGATATTTAAAGTCTTTTAAAATTTGACCTCCACTAATGTTTCAATTTGTGTCTGCTATCTGAAATCCACTCAGTTCACGGCAAGGTGGTCCTTCATTCTTCACTCTGCCTTGACGCTGTTTCCCCATCATGCTTACCCTGTCTTCCTATGTAAATCTATAGGGCAACCAAAGTGATTCTTTTAATATTGTAAGCCAGGTCATGTCATTCTTCTGCAGACAAGCCTCTAGAAGATTATTTTGCCACTCAGGGGAAAAATAAATAAGTAAATGCCTTTGACATGGTTCCCAGGCCTTGTCTCACATTCTGTTCTGTCTCATTCTGCTCTAACCACACCAGCCGTTTCCCCCTTCCTCAATATGCCCAATAGACTTCCACCTTATAATTTTGCACTTATTTTTATTTTTACCTGGAATGCTGTTTCTTTAAATATCTAATTGTGTCTTTCTTCACTTCTTCAATTCCTTTTGGTCTCAATTCAAATGTCTCCTTGACAAAGCAGATATTGTTAACCAACCTATCCAAACTGCCATGCCCCACTGAGCCCCCACTGCCGCGTGTCACTCTCTAGCCCCTTTCTCTCTTATATCTTTCTTTGTGACACCTCCATCACATACAATATGCATTTTGTCATTTGTGTATATACACATTGACTTTCCCTTTAAAATCAAGAATCTTGGGACCAGAGACAGTGTCGTATTCATTTCTGCATTTCTATCTTTAGAATACATCAGCATGCTCAGTATGCAGTTTGTCCTTGATGTAATTTTCTGGAATGATTACATAAATGAATAAATAAATGTCAAACATCCTGTCCTGTCAGGCATTTGCTTAGGTTTTCCAGTTTTTGTTTATGCCACTCCCTCTTTTTTGCTACGTCTTAGCCTGACCTTTCCTTCCAATTTAGTTCACATCCTTGATCTTATTATTTGTACTGTTCACAGTGAGCTTTCCTTCCTATGAACTCTAATAGGAAAAGTTTTGAATGAAAACTATATTTGACAATTATGAAGCACAATATTATTTCCTTAAAAGTCTTAGGTATTTGAAGGCAATTACATTTTGTTGCTTTTTCTGCATCTTCAATTTCTTTTTGTCCTAAACTTTGAAAATAATATCTTATTGAATTTGGGTAAATAAGATTATTTTCAAACACTTTTGTAAGATCTACTGTAGTTATAGCTAGTCTCTCCAAAAGAATACTTTCGATATTATTAGTCATGGTTTGTTCTGTTTCAGAAATTGAATAAACTTGTTTTCCCTGAAATATACATTTAACCAATTAAAACGTGCAGTTTTTCTGGTCCTTGATGAATTTCTATGAGTATAGACTTCAAACACTGTGCAATTTGAATGACTGAAAGTTGTTCTTAGGTCTGTATCATTTATAATTGTGATATTGGCAGCATCATAAATAGATATAACTTCTAAATAATTGCAGAAACATTAAATTATAGTGACCATATTTTCACTATTGATTTTTTAAAGTACTCTAACTTTCTTAAGATCAGAAATTTGTATTGGAAAAAATAAATGCAACTTCTTTCTACTCTAACTTACCATAAAATTTCAATGAGTTCTCTTTTACCTATATATTAGTATTTTATTATCGGTATTAGTGTAAACATTTGTTGTGTTTCAGATTACAATTCTCTTTCTGGGAAGGATTAAGTCTTGCAGTTATAAAATGAAGAAAGATAATAATATGTACCTCATTGGAACATAGTGAAAGTTAAATGAAAAATTCATATAAAATACTCAGCACAGGTTCTGAGAATACTGAAAATATAATAAAAATGCTATTGTTAATATTGTTATTTATTTTTCTATGGAAGAACCTAGGATATTTATAGTATAAATTTCATGCTAAATAGATATCTATAGACAAATAATTGATGGATAGATGCATGGATGGGTGGATAGATGAATGGTTGGAGTGACTGATGATTAGATGCGATTTAGAAGAAAGACTTCCCATGCCATTTTTTAAAGATTTGGCATCCCTGTGGAGAAGATAGAGATGAGCATACGTATGTTCACTCGTCCCAGTAGGCCTTGTCTAGATAATGCATATCTGGTGAAGAAAATGTAAAGATTAGCTGAGTGATGTGTAGGGGTTGATATTACTTTAGCCCTAGTTCATCATATCTTTTTATCCCCATAATAGCTCGATGTGGCAGGCCAACTTTTTTTTTTTTTTGATTTACAGATGAAGACATCTGAGGCTTAGGAATATGACATAACTTTCTCAAGGTTTCACATAGGTGGGAAAATATAATCCATCTCCAGCACTTTTTGTATTTCATGTTAATGTCTCTCACTAGGCCCTACCAAATAGTGATTTTCTTTCTCGAGTCCATGTCCAGTTGTTAATTCAATGTGAGAGACATAGTTCAAAATATAGGGCAGAGCTTGGTTCCTTCTGGGAATTTGGACTAAGGCAACTTCCCAGTATTAAGTCATATTAAGATATATGTGGCTGTGAAAAAATTGAGCCTATCTGTAAAAAGCCTGTGAGAAATCACAGAACAGGCTATACCATAGATCATCGCTGCCAGCTGGTTATAATTTGTGTCCCAAATATTCAAGCAACTCTGTATTCATTGTTAAGTTGTGATCTTGGTGTTGGTCATTGTGCCTTAACAAATAAATAAGGGTGTAGTTTTTATTATCACAATGCTGTAACCAACTGAGCTAACTGTCTGGGTTGTAGTTTTTAAATGTCAAAATAATGTGTGAGGTGTATTATACATTTTCTATTAACTTTGCACTGTATGTTTACTCTCAGTGATGACACTTAAGTTTATATTATTTATATAATATTATTTATATTATTTATATTATAATAACCAAAACCAAATATTTAAATACATTTGGCTACAGAAAAGTTCATCTTTCTTCCCAGGGCTCAAGAATAGTTTGCTAGAGGCTTGATCCTGATTTAACCACTTCTGAAACATTAACTGGACCGGGGAGATAGATGCAAGCCTATCTACGTAATTTTTTTTGTGAAGAGTAAAATTATTTACTATTGTAATACCAAAAAATATATATTTTTTCAAAAGAAGACAAATCAAGACGTTGTCTTTTATTATTTAAATTAAGGGCAGCTTATTAGCCAGTTGAATTAGATAATGACAATAATAAATGTGAAACAGTTATTACATATTTACTATATTCTGAGTACTGTGTTAAGCACATGGGCTGTATAATTAAACTCTCATCGTAAGACTAGGAGAAAAGAAATACGCGGTCCATATGTAAATCACAGAATTATGTGACCCACTGCTACATGAAAACACTAAGCCTTTAAGAGATCAATACATGAATAATACAATGTGTGGTAGAGGGGACCTAAATCCTATGTTCATTCCACCACAACCCATGCTCTTAAATAACTGTGTTTCATATTAATAGGTAAGGGAAAAGGCACAAAGATAATTTTTTTACCAGAACAAGGAAAAATTAGAACCCCCCATTTTCAAGCATGCCAAAGTATATTCAAAGTTAACTAATCTAAAGGTTAGAGAATAAATAAAGATAATAAAACACTGCTTGATTTATCTTGATTTATCTCTTTGGAAATCATGAAACTCCCCCTCTATTTTTTATCAAATACAAAACACAATAAAGGTCATACTTTTGGACATACATGATTCTTGAGCAAGTAGCAAATTACTGACCTTTCTATCTCTCTCTCTCTATATATGTATATATATTTTTTCTTTTCTTTTCCTTTCTTTTTTTCTTTTTGAGACAGAGTCTCCCTCTGTTGCCCAGGCTGAAGTGCAGTGGCACGATCTCGGCTCACTGCAAGCTCCGCCCCTCA
The DNA here is from genome assembly GCF_000001405.40 of Homo sapiens. Classification (NCBI taxonomy): domain Eukaryota; kingdom Metazoa; phylum Chordata; class Mammalia; order Primates; family Hominidae; genus Homo; species Homo sapiens. The sequence goes on along the minus strand of NW_003315919.1, from coordinate 132,391 downwards.
GGTTCACGCCATTCTCCTGCCTCAGCCTCCCCAGTAGCTGGGACTACAGGCACCCACCACCACGCCTGGCTAACTTTTTGTATTTTTGGTACAGATGGGGTTTCACCATGTTAGCCAGGGTGGTCTCGATCTCCTGACCTCGTGATCCGCCCGCCTCGGCCTCCCAAAGTGCTGGGATTACAGGCGTGAGCCACTGTGCCGGGCCTTCTCTCTACATATTTTTACAGTGACATTACACTCAATTAGAAAAAGCTGACCAATTAAATACATAATATATTTTTGTTTTATTGATGACTCTCACTGCTAACACATCCTCCCAAAATACTTTACCGTGTGGCTATTTAGAAATTCGGTACAATTTATTTTTGAAATGGCCACTTGCCAGATTGACAGACAGTGTGCTTTCTTTGTTAATGTGACCTGTTTCTTATGCATAAATGGCAAAGGCTGAGCTGTGTTCTTCCAGTGGAATTCAGAAGTGGAACTTATAGAATGATTTTTGTAGTCAAACAGTGATTGTTTTTATATGGCATATAGCTCCATACTTGAAATTAAATTTTCATGACATTGCCCACAAATCTTTCTGAGAAGAAAAAAAAAGGATTCCTGATTAAATTTGGCATAGTGAACATGCCATTTATCTTTTCTGTTTCTTAAAACTTTACTAAAATGATACAACATGGCTGTGCACAAAGGTACATATCCTCAATAACTGTGTTAGAATATGAGAAAACAGTAAGGTAAAAATTAATCGACTGGTGACTGTGTGGTAGTTTAAGAAAATGAATCTTAAGCTGGAATTGGGAAAGTCATTCAGAGATTACTTTCATAAAAGATTCAAATGGCGTATTAATTGGGTGCATCAGGTAATGGGGTTTATAAACAAGAGGATTATTTAAAATTCTGTTTATGGGCCGGGTGCAGTGGTTCAAGCCTGTAATCCCAGCACTTTGGGAGGCCAAGGCAGGTGGATCATGAGGTCAAGAGATTGAGACCAACCTCACCAACATGGTAAAAATACAAAAATTAGCTCAGCATAGTGGCGCATGCTTGTAGTCCCAGCTATTCGGGAGGCTGAGGCAGGAGAATTGCTTGAACCTGGGAGGCGGAGGTGACGGTGAGCTGAGATCGCACTAGTGCACTCCAGACTGGCGACACGCGAGACTCCCTCTCAAAAAAAAAAAAAAAATCTGTTTATGAAGAAATCTGAGTGCCAAATCCCATGCCCATATTGATGCAACAATGAGTCAGTTCTTCCACTCTCCAGCAGAAGCCTGGGAGTCCCTAGAGGGGGATATGCTGCCACTTACGCAGGAGATTGGAAGCCTCTTTGCCAAGGATTATCATCCTACTCCACACACATACATAAAAGTAACCCAGAAAGCTATTGACATTGGAGGTTCTCTAAGGAACCCATTCAAACTACTGTACAGTAAAGATGACAGTTAACAAACATCTTACATTCGTGCAGAAATTTCAATGCATGTTATGGTGTCCCTGCTCTTAAATATGAATCAGGATTACCAGACATATCAAGAAAGCATCTAACATGAAAGGCAGACAAAAAGAAATAGAAAAATAGAGCATAAACAGAAGCACTGTAACTAATATATATTATTAAATTCAAAAAAATTCTAATATAGTAAATGGTCTGATGGAGACAAGCTGTTTATTGGTTATCAAATCATAATATAAACACTGACAATTGAGAGACAATATAACATAGCAGTTAAAAACATAGGTTTTGGAGCCAAATTTCTTGAGACTGAACTTCAAATCTACAGGTTACTAACAGAACTTCACCAAATTACTTACCTCCTGTCTGCTTCAGTTTTATTTCTACAAAACGTGCATAAAAATAATACCCGCCTTCCGGGTGGATCACGAGATGGAGACCATACTGGCTAACACAGTGAAACCCTGTCTCTACTAAAAAATGCAAAAAAAATTAGCTGGGTGTGGTGGCAGGCACCTGTAGTCCCAGCTACTCAGGAGGCTGAGGCAGGAGAAGGGCTTGAACCTGGGAGGTGGAGCTTGCAGTGAGGGAGATCACGCCACTGCACTCCAGCCTGGGCAACAGTGTGAGATTCTGTCTCAAAAAATAAATAAATAAATAAATAAATAAATAATACCTGCTTCCAAGATCAGGAAATAATGCTTTGAGGATTAAATGAATAAGTATTTGTAAAGTTCTTACAGAATACTTAACATATAAAAAGCACAATATAAATATTTTTAACAAATTTAGCATGGTTGATCTAAACAAACTCATGATGTAACTGAAATATTAAAGTGGAGAAATAGAAGTTAATTTATGTGTGGTGGAGATGGAGATGGCAAGTAAAGGATTTAAATACTAATCTACAGCGGGAGAGGCATTGCTAAACTGGATAAACCATGGAAAAGCAATATGCAAATATTATTTAGAAACGCTGTGGACTGTCTCACCCAAAAGTAAATGTAATGTTTGAATAATTTTCTTTAGGGATCAAAAACATGGGACAGTGATTGCTGGAACAATACTAATTCTAAAATAAGAATTTTAGAATAATGTAACTCTTTACACACAGAAACACATTACTTTTAAAATTTTACTTAGGAATTATAAATATGTTATACACTAGTTCCCCCTTACCTATGGTTTTGTGTTCTATGGTTTCAATTACTTCTGAGCAACTATGGTTCAAAAATATTAAATGAAAAATTCCAGAAATGTATAATACACCTTATTTTTTAATTTTTAAAAATATACCTTTCAAAGTTTATTTTAGATTAAGGGGGTATATGTGCAGGTTTGTTACATGGGTATATTTCATGACACTGAGGTTTGGGGTATGATTGATCCCGTCACCCAGGTAGTAAGCATAATACCCAATAGTTAGTTTTTCAACCCTTGGTCCCCTTCCTACCCTCCTGCTTTAGTAGTCCCAAGTTTCTATTGTTACCATCTTAATCAACATACATACTCAATGTTTAGCTCCCACCCATAAGTGAGAACATGCAGTAAGGTTCCCTGCTCCTGTGTTAATTTGCTTAGGATAATGGCCTCCAGCTGCATCCATGTTGCTCCAAAGGACAAGCATTCACTCTTTTTACTGGCTGCATAGTATTTCATGCTGTATATGTACCACATTTTCTTTATCCAGTCTAATGTGGATGGGCATCTGGGTTGATTCTATGTCTTTGCTATTGTGAATGGTCCTGTGATACATATGTGAGTTCATGTGTCTTTTTGGTATAGTTTATATTATGTTGGATATATATCCAGTAATGGGATTGCTGGGTTGAATGGCAGTTCTAAGTTTTTTGAGAAATCTCCAAACTGCTTTACAAAGTTGTTGAACAAACTTACACTCCCACCAATGGTGTATAAGCATTCCCTTGCATCCACAGCTCACAGCATATGCTAATGTTTGACCTTTTATCATAGCCATTCTGACTGGTGTGAGATGGTATCTGATTGTGGCTTTGATTTGCATTTCTCTGATGAGTAGTGATTTTGAACATTTTTTCATATGTTTCTTGGCCACATTTATTGTTTTGAGAAGAAGTGTTTGTTCATGTCCTTTGCCTGCTTTTTAATAGGGTTATTTGTTTTTGGTTGTTTAGTTAAGTTTGTTGTGGATTGTGGATAGTGGACCTTTACTGGATGCATAGTCTGTAAATATTTTCTCCCATTATATAGGTTGTTTACTCTGGTGATAGTTTCTTTTGTTATGCTGAAGCACTTTAGTTTAATTAGGTCCCACTTGTCAATTTTTGTTTTAGTTGCATTTCCTTTTGAGGACTTAGTCATAAATTCTTTCCCAAGGCTGATGTCCAGAATGGTGTTTCCTAGGTTTTCTTCTAGGATTCTTACAGTTAGAGGTCTTACATTTAAATATTTAGTCCATCTTGAGTTGATTTTTGGATACGGCATAATGTGAGTACCAGTGCAACAGAATAGAAAAGCCAGAAATAAAGCCACACACCTACAGTCATCTGATCTTTGACAAGTATGACAAAAATAAGCAATGAAGAAAAGACTCCCTATTCAATAATTTATTTGGGGATGACTGGGTAGCCATATGCAAAATAATGAGACTGGATCCCTAACTTTCTTGTTTTAAATCGCACGCCGTTCTGACTAGGGCATCAAATCCAACACTGCACCACTCCATTCCGCCTGGGATGTGAACCATCCCTTTCTCTAGAGTCTTCATGCTGTATACACTACCTGCCTATTAGTCACTTAAGAAGCTTCTTGGTTATCAGATCAAATGTCACTGTATCACAGCTTGCTTTCAAGTAACTTTTATTTTACTTAGTAATGGCTCCAAAGAGTATAATAATGACAAGAGTAATGATGCTGGCAATTTGGATATGCCAAAGAGAAGCCAGAAAGTGCTTCCTTTAAGTGAAAAGGTGAAAGTTCTTGACTTAATAGGGAAAGAAAAAATGTATACTGAGGTTGCTAAGATTCATAGAACAAATCCTTTATCCATGAAATTGTGAAGAAGAAAAAAAAATCTGCTGGTTTTGCTGTCACACTTCAAACTTTATTATAAGTGGGTTTGTCTGAGAAACATATATATAGGATTTGGTACCATCCTTGGTTTCAGGCATCTAGTGAGGGTCTTGGAATGTTCTCTTCGGATTAGGGGAAACAATTGAATCCGTGTTATTAAAATATTAAGAAAGCAACCCCAGTATTGTTTAACCACATATTCTGATATGATTATCATTTTGATCATTTTCTTGAACTTTTTAAACACTTGAATTTTTCTGTGGACGTGAAACCCTCTTGCTACTTTCTGACCCTGTTTTGATTTGCAGGGCCCTTAGTAGTGGTAGTCATAGCAGCCAGAATATAAATGTTATGGCACTGGTTTTTACTTTGCCATGTGAATAATGACTCCCCTGCACTCCCTTGCTGCATTTTCAGGGGTTGGAATTAAAATAAATGATTCTCTTAGATGAATGGGAATAAATTTCTTACTCACTTTTATTTTACTAAACTCCATAACCATTAGAGAATGAAGTCATTACCTGCATTTAAAGGAAAGAGAACAAGAAGCACAGGAACGTTACAAAGGAATTATGTGATTGATCATCTGTCTTTAACTCAGAAAGGATATTATGACTTACATGTTATTATCCATAGTCATATTAATCATATTTGGAGAAAATGTACTGAAATTAACAAAAGAAAGATATATTCTACATAGTATGTGGAACTTCAAGACTCCGAGGAAAGGATGGTGGGGAAGGTGAAGGAACCATGTATCTCTCTTGAATAATTTAGTTGTCGGAGGCAAGGTGTTAGACTTAATCAGACATCACAAACTGCAAGCCAGAAGAAATCAGGCAGGAACATAAATGAGCAAAGATATCAAGCCTAGAAAAACCTGCTCCCAGTCTACCTTTGCTGACAGCAGCCATGCAGAAACACAGTCCAGGTGCAAGAGACATTTCCATTCTTCAAGAGTAGCCAAGAATCTAGAGTTTTGTGTCAAAAGGTTAATTTGAAATGTTTGACAGTTATTGAAGGAAGGAAGGAAGAACAGGAGAGAGGGAGATGGGGGAAGGTCAAATAGCATGGGCCCAGTCCACAGACTCCTTTTTTTGACCTCTAGGCTTAATGAATCGTTTAAAGAAGCTTCCAGCCATTGGATTTTAGCATGTCTTCATAGACTTACAACAAAGCAGGGGAATATCTTACTTTATGCCTTTTTCTAAACTTTGATAATACTATCTCTATCATATAGTCAAGCTGGCAAGTAGAAAATACATAGAAATTTACTTTCCATTTTCTGATGACATATAGTTTTCCAAAGCAAATTATTTAAAAGCTGAGTCCTAATTATTATTCCTATCACAGCCCATCTGATTAAGTCTTTCACTTCTTAGTGGAAATAAATATAAATTGGAGCAATATTTATATTGCCTTTCTATAGAGAAGAGGGTATGTTATTGAAATGTATTGTTTACTGGATGAAGCTGAAGAGGGAAGCTAGTGGTTTTTAAACAGATAATTGTCTTTGAAATCTGAAGCAATCTAGTGTTTTAGCTCCTGGAAATTGCATTTACCCAACACACTGATATTGTTGTTATTATAAATCATTTAATAAGTCCTAGCTTTTATTAGTTTTGTTGCAGCTAACTAAAATTGGGGCACAATAAAATCCAAATTGATGAATTTTGCATAAGAATACTTTTGTGACTGGAAGAACATTGTGTTCTCTAAATTTATAAGAGTTAAAGGGAACAATTGGATGGCTACTCAGAAAGAAACAGTCAGATTTCAATTAGCACTTTAACAAAACAGCCCATGTATTTCCACCTATAGGCTTGATTCTGATCATTCAGTTTAATTTAAAAATCAGACTGTATTTTGGACTGTATGTTTTTTCCATAGCTACTGACTACTGTGATACTGGAAAATTGATTTTTACTGTTATTTGTCTGACTAATTTTTGGTTTACATTGCTTAGTCAATCCATATTTGATGCTCTTTTAATAACAAATTTTTAAAAATGGTAGTGATGCATGATTTCTATGTATCATGTTCTTTGTAAATTGATTTACTTTGAAACAACATTGATACTTGTTTTGCATTTACAGGGTAGTAAATAATTTGCTTACATGTATACACAGATTCTGGATCCCATAAGGGCGGGGGACTGATTTTACTCACTAAATATTCAGTACCTGGAACAGAGTAGATTGCCTACACCTTGATTTTAGTGAAAGTTTACAGAACACAATGAAATATAACTTTTGTTGTCAGCTATGTTCTTTCTTTGATACATGGATATTTTAAATAACTATAAAACTGATAAGGCCATCTTATAGCTTGTGTGTATGTGTGTGTGTGTGTGTATGTGTGTAACTGCTAGATCCCTTTGTATTTAACCATGGGGGTAGTAGACAACTATTGCTGTATTAAAAAATGTTATGGAAAAGTGTCCTATGTGACTGGAGTTGAGATCCCGAGGCTATCCCTGATCACGACAATGACTTGAAGGAGAGAAAAATGACCATCTACAGACATTCAGAAATCGATCTGAGACTCATGTTAGACCATGTTATTCTCTTGATAGACACAAGCCATCTCACAGAATAACAACCTCAGATGAGATCACTCTGAGGTTGTGACAAGTTTAGATAAAATAAATCCATTTTATAATTTTGTCTAAGCACAGTCAAAAACTATGTCCATGTGGAACCCACAGATAAATAAATGACTGCTACTTCTTTAATCATTGGAATTGTGCTTTTATTCTAATCTCCTATTGTTATAGATAATATTTATTGAGATAGCCAACCACAGAATTGCCCTCACTTTCTAGATGCATGCAATCTAGAGGGAACCCCACTTCTTTAGACTTTCCCCCAGTAACCCAACCAAAGCCCAAATCCTTCAATAGTTTCATTTAAACACCCTCTTACTGAAATACTCCATGGTTCTCCATGGTTCCCCATGGTGTGTATTTGCTCTTCATGCAATGAATAACAGACCCAACCTATTCAGGTGTGTTCTTGACTATATTTGACTGGAGGACATTGACAACCATAATAATGGCCAAAACAACAATAATAATAACCCGCTGCTCACTTTACTATAGCCACAATCCTCTTGCTAGAAGAACACAACACATGCTCCTTAGGATGTTTGCTGTTGCTGCTAATTCTGCCTGGAGCATTACTCACTAAATATCTGCAAGCTTCTCTCTCATTTCCTTCAGATCGATACAAAAATATATGGTGGATAACAAACTACTCAGAGGCTTAAACAACATTATTTTATTCTTATTCATAATTGTATGTATTAGCTGATGGACTGATAAGCTAGACTGGGCTTAACTGGGGGTCTGTGTTCCAAGCTGCGATCCTGAAGGACTGGGATTCTTACTGTGAGTTGAGTTCCTGTATTTGTATTTTCTGGCTCCTGGTAAGGGGCTACAACTTCTCATAAGGAGTGCTTCTTCTGCAGATGATAGAGGCACAAATCGATATACCGCTCTGCACAAGTAAGTTTCAAGACTTTGTTTTCTCCACCTCTGCAAACATTCCATTGTCCAAAGCAAGTCATATCACTGAGCCCAAAGTCAAAAAGCAGGGTGGTATACCCCTCCCTTGTGGTAGAAACAGCACCGTTATATGAAAAAGGATGTGGATACATAGAGGGGTAAAGAACTGTGCCAGCCAATAACTCAATCTACCACAAGATCTCCATATACATTTTCTTTGCAGAGAAATCTTTTTTGATTACCCTGCCTTAGATCAAAGATCCCCCCACTCCACCACTTTCTTATCAAACTTTAAGTAATTATAGCTACTTAAGCTGTATCTGTGTCAATATGATTGATTGTGTGTGTGTTTATTATCTGTTTGCTGCCATCAATGCTACCTCCCGCCCCCAACCCCACACTATAATATAAACTACAAGGAGCAGAGAATCTGGTCAGGGTTGTTTATTGCTGTGTCCTCAGTGCCTAGAATAGCACCTGGTAATTGTTAAGCACTCCACTGAATATTAAGGACACTGATATTCTGAAGTCAAGATGACAGAAACATCTCTAGACTCTGACTCTTCAGTAGGTAGGCAATGCTCCTCCTTTGCGGCCAAAGGTGGAGACTGTAAAAACAATATCAAGCTATATGTGAAATGTGAGATACAGGATTATATATTGATGTATTGTCACTTGGCTGAAATACCTTTTTTGAGATAGTAGGAAGAGAAAGATTTAGTAATATTTACTAATTAAAATATGGCTCATGTTTTCTTTACACAGCCTGTTTCCAATGTGGAAATGATAATAAAGAAGCAATAGAGTATTGACATACTAAATCCAATAGGTCAGAATAAAAAAAAAAGCCTAAATCTTAAAATAACAGTCTAAGAGCTTTACTCCAGAAAAAGTTAAATTTATATTGGTTTTCCTATATTTCTCTTCTTTTTTTTATTTTTTATTTTTTTAAATTTTTTTTATTATACTTTTAAGTTTTAGGGTACATGTGCACAACGTGCAGGTTAGTTACATATGTATACATGTGCCATGTTGGTGTGCTGCACCCATTAACTCGTCATTTAACATTAGGTATATCTCCTAATGCTATCCCTCCCCCCTCCCCCAACCCCACAACAGGCCCTGGTGTGTGATGTTCCCCTTCTGTATATTTCTTTTCTTAATGACCGTAATAGCCATTTGCTCTTAGAGATTTCATTGAAAATTAATGCTTCATTGAAAAAAAAATGAGTGGTTCCTGTACTCATATATCATAAAACATAAAGATGTATGGTGAAGTCGACAAGATCACTTCTTTATTTTTTAAATTTGTTAAAATGTTTTTCTTAACACAAGGTGCAGGTCTAAGTACAGTGGAGAGGTAGCAGTAATATTTAACAGTCAAGTTGAAAAACTCCCTAATTTAATTTTAAATGTTCTTGGATAGTTCTACTTCTAATTACATAAAAGAAGAAAATAACTATATTAAAGTAAAGGTGAAAATATATTTCTTAAAAATCAAATTCATTTGAAACCTGACATTAAAATATTAAATCTATTGTGAGATCAACATTTTACCAACATTTCATAGAAAAAATTACATATACTTTTAAGCAAAACATTTGACTTATTAAAAATGACACCTCTTTACTATGTTACAAACTGTAGACAGTATTGAATATCCACATATCTGAAAGTATATTCATGTGATATAAATAAGTAACACAAATAAATATGGTGTTTTTTCCATTTTAAAATTAATACTTCTTGGCTTCAAGAAAGTTTTACGTTGAAGTTGGAATGTAAAAAAGATCAAAGATGGAAGAGTGTTAAAAGTTAATCTGTTGAGCAATGCCAAAACCTCATTACGGGATTCCTTTCAGATGTTCATCCATCTTCTTTTTAAATACCCAAGAATGGTGAACTTACTGCTGCCTAAGACACTCCATGCTAGTGTTGACAACCCATTTATGAGTAAAGTTCTTTCAATGCTCAGTCACCTGGAAAAATAATAACGTATAAGTTGCTGGAAATTCTCTTCTACTGGTTATAACAGCAAAAGTATATATTCAAAATGGAGACTAAGATTCCAAAAGTTGTATCTTCAAAGGTCCTTTCAGGTCATGTGACTGCAAATGTTTGCAACAGTTTTCTTCTTGCAATTTTTAAACGATATAATTTATACCATTTTTAAAGTTATGGAGGCTGAGATCTACAAGAAAGGGAAAAAAAGAACAATGGTGCACAAAACTATCAATAATAAATAGTTTAGATTGAAATCTACAAGAGTTTAAACCATAGTTGAGGACTCTAATTAAGCACCCAAAGTAAAGAAGATCCGTGATTGGGGTATCTACATCTACAAACTAAAATATATGATAACTGATCATAAAATGGAAAAAAAAGAAAGATGACAATTTTATTCATTCATTCATTTATTCCAAAACTATTTATTGAGCACATATTAGGTGCCAGAACCTGTGTTAGACACCTTAAAGCTCATAAACACAGAGACTTTTGTAAAATCCCTATGGAAGTAAAAAAAAAAAAAAAAAAAAGAGAGACTTTGTATATATAAAAAAATTGGTACCAACCTTGTCATAGAGACACTATTACAAATTTGGCTTTTACTAAAAGGTAATACAGGTGCTTGCTGTGGCATCTCAGATTGAGAACAAGGTTCATTTGTTGGTGCAATAAATTGCTAAGAGCAGTGAAATAGAAAATGACTCTACAGCTGAGTAAAGCCCTAGGTACTGAACCATCGCACTAGGTTCTACTCAATTGAGCTAATGGGTATAGAATCTAGCACTGGCTCTTGCTAAAACCTACAACTTTTCATTTAGTTAAGCAGAAAAAATATACCATGTGAAAAAATGCACCTCAGTGTAATATGCAGGTATTAATCTCTGTTAATTTTTGAGGTACAAAATAAGATCAGTAGCTTATTGGTTTGCCTTTAACATGAATTCAGTTTGAATGTGATATCATCTGTTGCTTTATTGAGAGAAAAGTAAAGATGGCTAATGCTTATAATGGCCTCTTTATTTTTCTTAGACTTAAGATAAAAATTAAACTATATGAGACTCTGACAGAAATTTCAATTCTAACTGTTTCAGAAGAACCAGAATAGACATCTCTTTTCTGAGTCTTTGTTCTTTATACTTTGGAAGAGAGAGATTTTAAATTTATTTGAAATAGTGATCTTGCAAAATCTTTCTCCTTCACAAGATTTTTCTAGTAATTTATGGACCAAGGTGGGCCATTTAAAAATTAATTGACTATGTAGATACCATGTGTTTGGGTCTCTGGAACTATATGACATTCATAGTTGTATACATTTTTCTTAATATATTGCTAGATGATCTGTGTGAAAGTAATGCCCTTGGAGCCCACTTTCAGGAAGATATAAATAACTGTAAATGTGTTGTGCTTCATAGTACATCTCTTTAATTGCAAATTTCTTAATTTTATTAAGGCACATAAATATTACTTATCTGCTTTTAAAGTACTACTTATAGATAATAAAAATAGAAATAGATTTATTTTCATAAGATTAATTGTCAGGGCACATGCACATAATGTACAAAATTAACCACATTAGGGATCCAGAAAAGGATGTTATCCAAAATTCTCTTCTTTGAATCTTGAAATTTTGAACCTCAAGAATTCTACACAAATATCCACAAGACTAGTAAATCAATGAAATTCATAAGTCAATAATTATTGTCCAGTAAATTACTGAAGATCAAAACCTGAAACATGGTTTAGACCAGGAGTCTGCAAGCACTCCTACAAGTTAAATCCAGCTTGCTGTCTTTTTTTTTTTTTTGGAAGTTTGTATTAGAACGCAGCCACATTCATTTCTGTACTTGCTGTCTATGACTTCTTTGGTGTTACAATGGCAGAGGTGTGTAGATGCAACAGAAAGTCCATAAAGCCTAAAATATTTACCATTTGACCCTTTACAGAAAGTATGCTCATCTTGGGTCTTTACTGTTTATTATGCTGCAATCCACGTTCTTATTAATCAATAAATCTTATCAATACTACCTCCTAAATGAACAAATTTATTTTATTTCCTCTTTCCTATTATCTCTGCTACAAACCTAATTCAGTTCCTTATAATATAATATCTATCTGAATTAAAGGCAGTATTTTCTTAACTGTTCCCCAGTAGCCTCTCCCTAATCAATTCATCCTTAGTCTTCCTGATGTGTGAAAACATAGCTCTATCTCCTAAACTTCTTTCTGAGAGATTGAGAAAGTTACCCAAACTTCTTTGTATCTTGTATAAAGCTCTTCCTAGTGCAGCTGTAAACTTAAATTAGCCTTACTCAATATCTTGGATGAACTCAGGGTACACTATCATTTAGCTTCCCATAACATTTTCTTTATGGCCATCTTGGTTTTGCATGTATTGTTTTCTCTACCCACCTCCTACTTAATCCACCAAACTCTGACTCATATTTTAAGTTCCTTCTTAAATGTAGCATGCATGGGTATGACTTTTCTGATTATTTATGGCATAATTGGCAGCATGTGTCAATACGTTATAATAGTACTCTAATTGTACATACCTTTTACCACATTGTATTGTATTTATTTGTATACGATCTTTATATGTCTTCTTTTCTGTGATATTATTATGAACATCTCAGTTAAAGATAAAGACCTTGATTCAATCATCTTCATATCTCCAAAGTCTAGCACAAATCCTAGAAGACAATAGTTGTAAAATTAGTGTTTCCTTAATGGATATGTATAAAAGATAGTAATAGGAATAACCTAAAATTATGAAAGTACCTTTTTATGAAGTGACTGATACAGTTAAATCACTATTTTATTCGTTAAATGGAATGTAAAGTGTTCTTCTCAGAAAGATATTAACTATGTGAGGTAATACATATGTTAATTAGCTAGATTTAGTCATTCCACAATGTATATATACTTCAAAACATCATGTTGTACATGGTAAATGCATACAATTTTATGTGCCAATGTAAAAAATAAAATAAAAATCAAGAAAGAAACTACTTAACTAAAAAAAAACTGCTTTAATTTACTCTGACTTCCATTTGTTTAATAATATGCCCTAAATGAAAAAGTCAGTAATTTATTTTATTATTATAAATAGGTGGTGAATGTGTATTTGAGCATTTCCAAATTCCTAGATACATTATCTTTAATAGCTGTCATGTAGATATTTACCCCATCTATATATGTATTTATTTATTTACTCAATTAATCATCTACTGAATGAGTATTATATTCTGGAATCTGTACTACACTTTGAGAATACAATGATAAGCAAAGCAGACAGCCACTTTCCTTATAAGGCTAATCATTTAGTAGACAGACAATAAAATTAAAGAGACAATACATATTATGAGTAGGGTTTTGTAAGAAATGAACATTTCAGTGTAACAGAAGACAGAAATCAGGGATATTAAAGGAGATTGGAAAGTTTTCTGTGAGGAGGTAACATTTAAGGTGAGACAGAAAGGGTGAGGTAGAGCCAGCAGCTGTGGTAGTTGTGTTCTAAGAATATTCCAGGCAGAAGAAATAGGTTACATCTAAACTTTGATGCATCATTAAAAAAATTAACTTTTCTTTTTTCGGTACTTTATTGATATAGTTGTACATATTTTGGGTATACATGTGATGTTTTGATACCCGTATACTATAATGAGTATAATATTTGTACCCATTAACCAACTTTTCTTCATCCACCATATCCCCCAACTTTTCCAGGCTCCAATAGCCACCATGCTACTCTCTACTTCCATGAGATCGACTTTTTTAGTTCCCACACATATGTTTTTCAAGGAATGGAGAAAGAGTTAATGTGGTTACAAGACAGTAGTAGGGAAGAGGAGTCAAGATGGAACGGAGGGCTAAAGATTAGTTGGATTGTTCATAACCTTGAGAATAAAAATTAGATTTATTCAAAATTTTAGGAAGCTTTGGCAGGCTTTAGTTGAAGGCCTAATGTGATGAAATTTGTGTACTAAAAAGATTATTCTGGGGGTTGCTATATGGAGATGGGATTGGAAGGGTAGTTAGGAGATCCAAAAATTTTGTATTGTCCTAAAAGAGTAAGAATTGACAGTGCCTTGGTCTAGGCTCTAGGGTGGTAGCAATGAGATGAGAAACTGACAATAGAGAGGAATCATGATTGAAAATTCTAATTCATGATTGCTAAATACAGTATCTGGTATTATTAAATTAGTTTATCTTATGTGATGCTAAGATCGTAAGTTTGGTCTGAGATTGTTCTGTAAGCTTTTTCATTCTATGGCATTGTGTGTACAGAACAGGACTAAGACAGATGGATATTCAGGAGATACTGGGTGTAATGGCATAGTTGGTTAAATGGAGTATTTTCTCTACTGAAAGTCAGTTCTCCAGAACCTGTTCACTATAAGCCCATGCAATCATTCATTTGACAGTGGGGTTGGCAACTTTTCCTTAAAGTGCCAGATAGTAAATATTTCAGACTTTATGGGCCATCCAGTCTTTGCCACAACTACTGAACTCTGTAGTTGTAGCAACAAAGCAGTTTTAAACAATGTGTAAATGAATGGGTGTGACTATGTCTTAATAAAACTTTTTTAAAAACAGGCAGGAACCATGATTTTGTCTTCAGGCTATGGTTGGCCTACATCTGATTTATCATGTGAATAATGTACTTACCATTAACCAGACTTGTTTTAGTTGAGCCTATTATTACATTACACCTCATCTTACTCACATACATCTGGATCAAAGTTAGTATTTAAGACTTTTCTAAAGAATACCACTGAAATAAATGAATACTTTTAAGAAAAAACAGGGATGTTAAAATTTATCATGATTTTATCAGTGGATCTAAAAATGATAAATATTTGTTTTCATATCTCAGCCTATTTGCCCTTGAAGACCCAAATATTTATTTCTGTGGGAATTCTCACCAGCTCTTCTACTTACCCTCTAAAGAATCATTTTACCTATTCTCTATGACTTCCTAGATTTCAGTTCATAAATACATTATAGGACTCATTCAATTTTATTACAAGTGTTCACTTATGGAACTGCCGTGTTCATCATGCTTCGAGTTTCTTGTGGGTGAGCACTATTTCTTATTTATTGGTCATTTAGTTTTCATTTTAAAACAATGCTTATTAGATACCAGCTATATATAGGTACCATTCTAAGTACTGAGGAAATAATAATGCATAACATAATATTTTGTGTTATAATAATGATACAAAAAGCAGGGTAGTTTTTCTCACAGTAAAGCAGATATTACACAAGGGAATCGATATTTTGTATTGCAGTTTGAAAGATCTATTAAGAAATTATAACGGATGACATAAAGAATGTCCAAGATCTGGGACAAAGCATTTTACTCTTTCCTCTCTGAAAAAAGTGTTACCATCAGCATCTACAAAGGCCCTGAGATCAAACTGATTTTGACAAGTTATAGAAACAGAAGGAAGGGCATTATGGCTACAGAGTTGATGAGGAGTTGAGGAAATGGGCAGGAGCTGGTAGTAGGGAGCCTTACAGGCAAAACTGTGGCAAATGGTATTTTCCAAAAACCACTACAGTAAACCACCTGCCTCACAGGCTCTTCCAAAACCCTGCCACTTCTCCCATCAATAAATGGCACCAAATCCCCTTTGCTGGAGCCTAGATGGGTCTTTATGACTGCCTTGAGCAGTAGAATAATGCAGAAGTGACATTCTGTACATTTTAAAACAAAGTGATATGTTTTCTAGTAGGTTCTCTTTCAGGGTGCTCACCCTTGTACCTCACCCATCCTAAGAAGAGGAAGCCACCTTAAGAGTCCCATGCTGAGAGGAACTGAGGCTCCTGGACTCCCACATATAACTGACCAGCATGCAATTGCTGTTTTGGGGAGGGTGTACAACTGGAATGTATAAGTTAACCTCATTTTATAATCTGCATCTGGGACAAATAAAGTCCTTATTAAATCAATATTGATATTGATGGAATCACAGAAGGAAATGCAAGCAAGTCATAATTACAGAAATGACTTTCTCTGGGTAAATGAGGTCATAAAACCCTAGTGACACTAATCTTAGCCATAATTTTTAAATGTACTTGTATTCGCACATTTATCACTTCATTTATCATTTGTAATAGGCCTTATTTTTTAGAGAAGGTTAGGCAAAATTGAGCAGAAGGTACAGATTTCCATGTAACTCATGTTCCCACACATCCATAGCCTCTCTCATCATGAACATTATTTTCTTTATTTTGCATTTTGAAACATAAATTCATATTTGATCCATTGTTTCTTACATTTAAAAGTTGCCTTCAATTATTGAATGTTTTATACATTTCAAATACATTTTTATTGAAGCGTGACATGCATAATAAAACGTGGACCATAATAAAAGTGCACAGGTTGATGAATTTTCACAAAGAGAACACATCTGTGAAGCAAGTATCTAGATTGAAAAATTAAATATTACCACAGCCCAGCTGTCCCCTCCATGCCACTCCTAATCACGAAGCCTACCCCAAAAATAATAGCTTATCTGACTTCTAACATCATAGGTTAAGTTTGCCCAATTTGAAATGTTGAGTTAATGGAATCATACACAACAAACTGTGCTATGATTTTCATCATACTATACTGTATAGATACATTTCATTAATTCTCATTATTATACAATATTTTCTGTATGTATTTATCACAATTTACATACATAATACTCTCGATGGATATTAGGGTTGTTTCCAACACTATGAAAAATTATTGCTGCTGGGAACATACCTAGGAGTAGAACTGTGGTGTCATAAACTGCATATACACTGCATTTAAGAAAATGTTTCAGAGCAGTTGTATTAATTTTACTAATTTACACTCCCACCATCAGTGAGTGAGAATTCCTATTGCTCCACATTCTCACCAATGCTTCGTGTTGCTAGTCTTTTTTTATTTTAGCAATTCTGGTGAATATATAGCAGTATCTCCTTGTGGTTTTATTTGCATTTCCTGGTGACTAATGCTGTTGAACACATTTTCATATGTTTATTGTCTATTTGGGTAGCCTCTTTTATGAAATGTCTGTCAAGTCTGTCCAGATATTCTATTAGATTGTTTACCTCCTTGTTATTGATTATAGAAAAAAAAAATATATATATAGACATTCATTCCAGGTATGTCCTTCCTTGCATACAAGTATTGCACATATTTTCCCCCACCGTGTGTCATAATTTTTCACTCTCTTAATTATGTCTCTCAATTAGCAGAATTTTTTTATTTAATATAATTAAATTACATTTTTTGCTTTATAATTAGTGACTGTTGGCATACTATTTAAGAAATATTTGTCTACCTCCAGGTAATAAAAATATTCTGCTGTGTTTCCTTTGAGAAACATTTTATAATTTGATTCAGAATCCATCTACAATTGAATTTTTGTACCAATACCTATTTTTCCCATATGTGTATCAGATTTAATCCATACCCTTATATGAATGAAACCACATTTTATGTTTTCTTTTGTGATCGATATTTTCCACTTCATCTATTTCTTATAAGATTAAATCATGTTGCTTTATCTAGTAATAGTGTATTTTTCTCATAGCTGTATAATACCACAGTAGATCTACACCCTATCATTTACTTACGCATTTTGCTTAGTAATATATCTAGATCACTTTTAGTTATCCAGTTGTTATAAATATTAGTGTTGTGATCACTCTTTTCAGTTGGTGCACATATGTGTGTATCTCATTGAACATATACCTAGGAGTCAAATTTATGGGTTAGATGTTAGGCACATGTTTAGATTTAGTAGTACTGAAGAAGCATTTCTCAAATAGTTTATAATTTTACTACCCAAATAGCAATATATGAATATCTGAGTTTTCTAATTCATCAAATCAATTGGTATTTGTTCTTTCTTTTACATTTTTGTTCTTCTAGTGCTATGTTGTGATATTTCTTGTCATTGTAATTTGCGTTTCTCTGATCAGAAAGCTAGTATAGTTGAATAATTTCCTGTATATTTACTGGTCATTTGAATATCCTCTTTTGTGAAATCCCTATTCAAAATAATTTAAAAAATGGAGGATTACTTTGAATTATTATCTCCAAAATAATTGAAGGGAGATAATTCTATGAGATTATTTCCCTTTTTCCTACTGATTTTTAGGTTTTTTTATTTTTAAGATTTTAAAAATATATTCTGTATGCAAGTCCTTTGTGTAATGCATGGGTTGTAACCATATTCTCTCAGCCAACAGTTTGGCCTTTTTCCTCTCTAATGGTATTTCTTTTTTTTCTTATTGTAAATTTTATGTTACAGTTTTTTTGTGTGGGTGCATAGTAAGTGTTCATATTTATGGGGTACATGATATATTTTGATACAGGCTTGCATAATAATAACTAACATCAGGGTAAATGGGGGTATCTGTCTCCTCAGGTATTTATCCTTTCTTTGTATTACAAATAATCCAATTAAACTCTTTTAGTTATTTTTAAATGGACAATAAATTATCATTGACTGTAGACAGCCTGTTGTGCTATCAAATACTAGATCTTATTCATTCTACCTAGGTATATTTTTGTACCCATTAACCATCTCTACTACCCCCAACCCCACTAACCTTTCCAGCCTCTGGTAACCATTGTTCCACTCTCTATCTTGATGAGTTCAACTGTTTTAATTTTCAGCTTCCAGAAATAAGTGAGAACATGAAAAATTTGTCTTTCTGTGCCTGGCTTATTTCATTTAACATAATTACTTCCAGTTTCATCCATGTTGTAAATGCCAGAATCTCATTATTTTATGGCTGAATAGTACTCAGTTGTGTATACATACCACATGTTTTTTATCCATTTGTCTATTAATGGACACTTGGGTTGTTTTCAAATCTTGGCTATTGTTAATGGTGTTTCTTAATAATATTTATAAAGACAATCTGGTCTAATTTTTTCATTTAAAAATTTTTGAGATAGCACTTTTGTCTAAAGAAAAAAATCTTTGCTAATCTCCAAATTATGATTTCTTTCTCTTTTCTTTTAAATATCCCACATATTAATAATGAATAAAAATCCTATCTTACACTCTGTAAGAGTCATAATCAGACTGAGTCATAATAGGTTATAGCAACAGGGTTTTGGCATGAATAATTACAAAAAAATATCAAATGTGTGTGTTTCTCTGTGCCAACCCCAACTGTGTTCTTTTTACTAATAAAATACCTTGAAAGTACCTATTTCTACCAAGTTCCAAGAGTAGGATACCTCTTATTTCATGGTTAGCATTTGATTAACTTTCTGATGATCTGAAAGTTTAAAGGAGCTGGAATGAACCAGTTCTATAATTGTCATTTTTATTTCTGAGATTTATATTACCAAATATGGACTACAGATCTAAAACTGGGGTCTGTGTAGTCAAGGGAACTGGGAAAGGAAAGTTAAACTTTATTCCTTAAGGTTTATGAATTGTCTAATTCCTTCCAAGTGTTTCATTCTCACTGATTAAGAACCCCCCTTTGAAACAGTAGACTGTTTTCAAGTATAAGTTTGACAGAAATTTTTTAAAGGCTCTTTTTCTTAATGACATGCACAGACAGATTCACATACAACAGATGCTCGGTCACTCACTCAAACTTCTGATCATTTTCCAACACTTCAGACTGAATGATTTTGACTGCCATTTGTTCCAGACCAAAGACTTTAAGGCCAGAAGCAAATGTCTTTTAAATTCCATGTGATTAATGTTCCCCAACAGTGTATTTGTCACTTCCAAAAACTCCACATGTTGTTCTCCAAGGCAAACCTACCCTAAACTGATCTGGAGAAGAAATGAGGCATGTTGAATAAGCACTGTTAGATTTTAATGTGACTGAAACTCAGTAATCCTCACTGTTGGAAATTAAACATCAAGTTCCTGAAGCAGAGACAGGAACTAAAATCTTACCTCATTTGTTTTCTTATGTGTAGGTTCACTAAGAAAGGTGATGGCACCAATGTGTCAATTTGATCAATGAATAATAAATAATGTGTTACGTCATGTAGATGTCACGTAGTAGAATGAACCCTGTTTCATCAAGTTTGCGTATAATTGCTAAGAGAAATAAGATCAAATTTCTAATTTGGCAATGTTCTGAGAAAGGCAACCTATCATTTTTTTTTTGTTCCCCCACCCCCTTAGCGTTTCAAGCTCTCAATTCTATCCTTCTCAGCAAAATGAATTTTAAGCTTAAAAACTCTTCTTACCTTAGAATTATGCTTTTTACTGTGTGATCTTGGACACTGAAATGAAAATGGAAGCTATTCATTCACCTTTAAACACCATAAAACTCATTTTTATAAAATTCACTTTTAATTCATGATATTACTTAAACACAATTTACTTAGTGCCATGGGAAATGCAGGAAATAAGAATCGATCCCTTGGAACTCATAAAACTCTTTCCTTTTTAAGCTCATCTATTAAATATCTCTTCTGTGAAAAGATAACAGAAAACAATTTTATGTTGATATTATCAGATACTCAGGCTCCGGATGGAACAGAGAAAATCCCCTAGACAAGCACCATCCTACAGCAACATAATGCCAACCACAAATGTGTGCAAATGTATGTCATTTAACAATTTTTAGTAGACACATAAAGTACACCAAAGTAGGTAAAATTAATTTAGTAATATCTTTTATCTGGTCCAGTAATCAACATATTATCATTTCAATATGTAATCAATATCATTTATTAATAAGATATTTGCATTTTTGATATGAAATCTTTGAAATACAGTGTTTGTTTTAAGCTTTCAGTATATATCAATTTGGATTAATTAAATTTCGAGTGTCCAGTGCCCACATGTGGCTGGTGGCCACCAAATTGAGCAGTACAGCTCTAGCACATTTGAATTTACTTCCCAAGATGGAAACACTTGGAATAAAATCTTATATTTTATATCTATCTTTACTGTTTACTTTTCTAATGGCTCTTTTTGCTTTTCATTTATTTTTATTTTTTATTTTTTTCTGGAGATGAGGTCTTGATATGTTGCCCAGGCTGGTCTCAAACTCCTGGGCTCAAGAAATCCTCCTGCCTCAGCCGCCCCAAGTGCCAAGATTACAGGTGTGAGCCACCATGGCCAGCCCCATTACTTTCATAGTCACTGAATTATAATCCCAATCAATTCTTGTTTTATTTTCCTTCAAGCTGGTAAAAGAAATTACTAGAATTACAACATTTTGATAGCAAGGTATGGATTCCAGAAAAGACATTCAATTACTGATGATTATTGATATCATTTTAATTTAAAGCTTTCTTTTAATAGAATTTGTTGTCTTCAATTGTTTTGTCTGGGATGAAAGTTATGTCTGCCACCTGCACATTATGTGAATGTAGGCAACTTATTTTGAATTTCTAAGTTTAGCTTCCTCATTCCTAAAATGAAGAAATAATATATTTTTTTCTTTTTTTTTTTTAAGACAGAGTCTCACTCTGTTGCCAGGCTGGAGTGCACTGCGTCCGGCCAGAAATAATATTTTTTTCATAAGATTGTTCAGCAAATTTCATGAGGTCATGCTTATATACTTAGTACAGGGCCTGGCACATTATAAGAGCTTACTATACACAAATAAACATTCTTGTTTAACAGGCATTTTTCATCAACTAGATAACATCAGCATTTTATTTGACTTTTTCATTTACCATGAGATGCAGAAAGGATATTATAAAGTTATTTAATTTGCATATCTGATAAACAGAAAACATTTTATTCAAAGTATCCCTGTGCTCAAATAGCAAGGCCTCACAGGCCTTCTTTAACATAATTGACTCTCATTCAAACTACTCACATTTTTTTTTAATTATTATTATACTCTAAGTTTTAGGGTACATGTGCACAATGTGCAGGTTAGTTACATATGTATACATGTGCCATGTTGGTGTGCTGCACCCATTAACTCATCATTTAGCATTAGGTATATCTCCTAATGCTATCCCTCCCCCCTCCCCCCACCCCACAACAGTCCCCAGAGTGTGATGTTCCCCTTCCTGTGTCCATGTGTTCTCATTGTTCAATTCCCACCTATGAGTGAGAAGATGTGGTGTTTGGTTTTTTGTTCTTGCGATAGTTTACTGAGAATGATGATTTCCAATTTCATCCATGTCCCTACAAAGGACATGAACTCATCATTTTTTATGGCAGCATAGTATTCTATGGTGTATATGTGCCACATTTTCTTAATCCAGTCTATCATTGTTGGACATCTGGGTTGGTTCCAAGTCTTTGCTATTGTGAATAATGCCGCAATAAATATACATGTGCATGTGTCCTTATAGCAGCATGATTTATACTCCTTTGGGTATATACCCAGTAATGGGATGGCTGGGTCAAATGGTATTTCTAGTTCTAGATCCCTGAGGAATCGCCACACTGACTTCCACAATGGTTGAACTAGTTCATGGTTCCACCAACAGTGTAAAAGTGTTCCTATTTCTCCACATCCTCTCCACCAACTGTTGTTTCCTGACTTTTTAATGATTGCCATTCTAACTGGTGTGAGATGGTATCTCATTGTGGTTTTGATTTGCATTTCTCTGATGGCCAGTGATGGTGAGCATTTTTCGTGTGTTTTTTGGCTGCATACATGTCTTCTTTTGAGAAGTGTCTGTTCATGTCCTTTGCCCACTTTTTGATGGGGTTGTTTATTTTTTTCTTCTAAGTTTGTTTGAGTTCATTGTAGATTCTGGATATTAGCCCTTTGTCAGATGAGTAGGTTGCAAAAATTTTCTCCCATTCTGTAGGTTGCCTGTTCACTCTGATGGTAGTTTCTTCTGCTGTGCAGAAGCTCTTTAGTTTAATTAGATCCCATTTGTCAATTTTGGCTTTTGTTGCCATTGCTTTTGGTGTTTTAGACATGAAGTCCTTGCCCATGCCTATGTCCTGAATGGTTATGCCTAGGTTTTCTTCTAGGGTTTTTATGGTTTTAGGTCTAACCCAAACTACTCACATTTTTTCAACACTGATTTTTTTCTTCCTGATTTATACAAGCAATTTAACTACATAAGATTTTAAGGTAACTTTTGACCCATCAACAGCTGATTACAGGAATACCTCAGTTTATTATACCTCACTTTATAGTACTTCACAGATACTGCGTTTTTTTTTTTTTCCAAATTCAAGGTTTGTGGTGACCCTGCATTGAGAAAGTCTATCATTACAATTTTCCCAACAGCTTGTGCTGACTTTGTGTCTCTGCTTCACATTTTGGTAATTCTTGCAATTTTGCAATATTTCATGCTTTTATATTACCATTATATCTGTTGTGATAATCTGTGCTCAGTGATCTTTGATATTACCCTTGTAATTGAGGGTGCAACTGACCATGCCCATATAAAAAGGCAAACAATTCTCTCTCTCTTTTTTCTTTTTTCTTTTTTTTGTTTTTTAGAAATGGTGTTTAACTATGTTGCCCAGGCTGGAATACAGTGGCTATTCACTGGCATGATCACAGAGTACTACAGCCTCAAACTCCTGGGCTCAAGCCATTCTCCCGCCTCAGCCCCCAGAATAGCTGAGATTACTGGAATTAGCAACCATGCTTGGCCAGAAGACAAACTTAATAAATACGTATTGTGTGTGTTCTGACTCCTCCACTAAGGCTGTTCTCCCATCTCTATCCCTTTCTTTGGGTGTCCCTGTTCCCTGAGACACAACAATATTGAAAATAGGCCAATTAGTAACCACACAATTGCCTTTAAGTATTCAAGTAAAAGAAAGAGTTGCATGTCCCGCTCTCTAAATCAAAAGCTAGAAAATGATTAAGCTTAGTGAGGAAGGCAGGTGGAAAACTGAGAAAGGCTGAAGGCTAGACCTCATCAGCCCAACAGTTAGCCAAGTTGTGAGTGCAATGAAAAGTTATTGAAGAAAATTAAAGATGCTACTCCAATGAACGTACAAATGATAAGAAAGTGAAATGGCCTTATATCTGATATAGAGAAAGTTTGAGCGGACTGGATAGAAGATTAAACCAGACACATTTCCTTAAAAACTACAGCTAATCTACAGCAAGACCCTAACTCTCTTCACTTCTATGAAGGCTGAGAGAGGCAAGAAAACTGGAGAAGAATAATTTGAAGCTAGCAGAGGCTCGTTAAAGAGGTTTAAGGAAAGGTACCATCTCCATAACATAAAAGTGCAAGATGAAGCAACAAATACTGATGTAGAAAGAAGCTACAGCAAATTACCGAGAATATTTTGCTGAAATAATTGATGAAGGTGACTACACTAAACAACAGACTTAAAATGGTGACAAAATTGCCTTCTATTAGAAGAAGATGCCATCTAGGACTTTTATAGCTAAAGAGGAGAAATCAATTCCTGGCTTCAAAGCTTCTAAGGACAGGCTAACTCTCTTGTTAGAAGCTAATGTGGCTGGTGACTTTAAATTGAAACCAATATACTACTCATATAACACTCTGAAAATATTAGGGCCCTCAAGAGTTATGCTAAATTTACTCTGACTGTGCTTTATAAATAGCACAACAAAGCCTGAATAATAACACATGTGTTTACAGCAGGGACTACCATATATTTTATGCTTACTGCCAAGGCCTACTGCTCAGAACAAATGAGTTGTTTCAAAATATTACTGGTGATTGATAATGCAAAGGGTCACCATAGATATCTGATGGAGATGTACAAGAAGATTTACAGTGTTTTTTTGGGGGGGTGGGAGGGGGCGGTGCTCCTAGAACATCATCCAATCTGCAGCCCATGGATCAAGTAGTAATTTTGGCTTTTGAGTCTTATGATTTAAGTAACACATTCTGTAATGGATCTGGGTAAAATAAATTGAAAACCTTCCGGAAAAGATTCGTCATTCTAGATGTCATTAAGAACATTCATGATTCAGGGGAGGAGGTCAAAATATCAACATTAACAGAAGTTTGGAAGAAGTTGATACCAACCATCATGAATGACTGTAAGGAGTTCAAGACTTTAGTGGGGGAAAGTCACTACAGATGTGGTGGAAATAGAAGGAGAACTAAAATTAGAAGTGCGGCTTGAAGATGTGATGGAATTGCAATCTCGTGATAAAACTTTAATAGATAAAGAGGTATTTCTCATGGATGAACAAAGAAAGTGGTTTCTTGAGATGGAATCTACTCCCGGTGAAGATGCTGTCAATATGGTTGAAAAGATAACAAAGGAATTAGAATATGCCATAAACTTAGTTAATAGAGCAGCGACATGGTTTGAGAGGAGTGACTCCAATTTTGAAAGAAGTTATACTGTGGGTAAAATGCTACCAAACAGCATTGCATACTACAGAAAAATCTTTCATGAAAGGAGGAGTCAAGAGATGTGGCAAGCCTTATTGTTGTCCTATTTTAAGAAATTGCCACAGCCCCCAGCCTTCAGCAGCTACCACCCTGATCAGTGAGCACTCATGGAGGCAAGACCATCCACAGCAAAACAATTACAACTCCCTGAAGGCTCAGATGTTAATTAGTAATCTTCAACAATTAAGATCTTTTAAATTAAGGTATATACTTTAAATATATGTACACACATATATATAATGCTATTGCACACTTAATAGACTGCAGTATAGTGTAAGCATTTCTTCTACATGCACTGGAAAACCAAAGAGTTCATGTGACTTGCTTATTCCAATATTCAGTTTACTCTGGTGGTCTGGAACTGGGTCCATAATATCTTTGAGATATAGCTGTATAATGTTAAGTACAATTTTGCTCTTGTGGATTTTACTAAAAGAGAAATAACTTTATTTAAAATACAGGTAAGTTCCCAATTAATCAAAATATCAATTAATTGGAATATTTTCCAAATTATGTTAGAGAGACGAGAGAGTGCAATTCCATCTATTTCATTTATATCTCATAAGGATGATTTCTGCAACTTTTTCTAATTTTGTTTTATCACCATTCCACCCACTTACCAGATATATTCTCCATACAGCACCCAGCACCTTTTCAAAAACATAAATCAGATCCAATCATTTTTATATCAGAAAGCTTACATTATATTCAGAATGCAACCAAACTCCCTAAAAGGCACCACTGAGCAGATTCTGTTCTATTGAATATCCACACTGGCCTTTCTTTCCTTTGAAATCTTGATCCTCAGTTGATCACCTCTTCCTGGAATATTCTGCTCCCTCTTAATGTTCAGCACTTATTTTAAATGTCACCTCTTCAGAGTACTTTTCTCTGAACAAATTACCTAAAGAAACAATCTAATTAAAAGCTTAGTTATCCTCTCTCTCATTCCGTCATTCTCTATCTTATTATTGTCTTCTACACGACTGCTCTCACAATCTGAGATGATCATATTTGTGTATTTCTTGGTCTATTTAAGGTCCTCTCCTTCACCAATAAAATATGAATCCTTGTGGGGAAGGAGCACATCTATTCTATTCCCTAGTGAATCCCCATACTTAGGAAGGTGCCAGGCACATAATACTTGTTCAATAATTTTTTTTGAAAAATTAACAAATTTCATACAAGAGAAAATATTTGGCCTTGCTTTATATCTTTTTGAGTCCCTTTACTCTAATTCTAGTAGGCTTAACCTGAAAAGTGTATCACAATGGATCTGCATAATGGAGGAAAATTTCAGGTAAATATAATCATCCATACAGTTTATTTTTCCTTAAACCTAGCAAATATCCAGCTAAAAATGTAAGGCAGCTTAATTTTTCTTTGCCCTTTTTTGTGCATAATTTTTTTTTAGGCATTTGTGGGGAGGTTCAAAGACTTATGCTAAAATAGAATTTAGATCTCCCACAGCTGACTTTCAAAATTAAATTATAACTCATTAACACTGTATTGTTTTTGCTAATTACCAATTGCTACTTCTTTATGAAATATAACAGTAAATTTAAGGCATAACATCAAATTTACATATATAAACACATTTTTGGCATACAAAAGAAGGTAGAGAGAAAAGAATACTGATGAAGTGAAAAATGTTTTCCTTAAAAAAATGAGAGAATTATAAGCTTACATGCTACTGTGGGAGAATTACAAGGCTCAAAATATTTACCAAATACAATGCTAAACTGTGTAGTCTTTAGAATATCTGTCCTCAAAAGCAAAATCACTCTTAGTCATCGACAGCCCTATAAATCGGACTTAGAAATAAAAAGATGCCACATTCGTTTACCATGTTGTAACAGACAATATAGTAAAAACTCTCTTGGGGCAAGAGGGTCTCTCTTTGTCCTTTTTTGTTTTCCTAAATTGTATTTGATAAGACATTCATGGGGTGCTAACCACAGTGCCAAGGAAAAGATCAGCAAAAGGTTTATATACAAAGCTTTTCTTCCCTTTGTGTATATAAATTGAAGGAAAGAACTAATCATTCAAGCATTCATTTCAATCATATGAAAAGAATAGGTTAGGAGGATAAACAGTGATTAATGAGAATGCCATCAGCCAAGAAAGTAAAGGTTTCATTATAATATGAAATTGCTGAAAACTTGCAAAATAAAAGTGCATCTCTAAAGAAAAATATATTTTGTCAGTGCACGTGAACATGCTATAAATTTATCTTAAAAGTAGATCCCACAGTATGTTTCCTGAAAGCTATGCATACAGATCATAGATATTCATGGAATATTTATTAAAATCAGATTTTAGAAAACTCACACAGTAAAAATTATTTTTCTGTTTTTACTTGGGTTAGTTAAGGTGATTATCCTTTAATCTTCCAACCCAGGATTCAGGCATCCTGAAGACTTAACTATAGGTTCTATTTGCAATCACAGAGCCAAGGACAACACACTTGGTCTTTGTTTTACTGACGTTCTTAGGGGTCTCACTATGGGGATATTTATTGATTCATACCCTTCCATTATTTCAAACACAGAACACCTTTGGAGGGCATTAACAATTAATCTAAATTTTTGCAGTACTCTTCAGAGGCATTTTGAACTGTAGCAATGCAGTACAGTGGCTAAGCACATACGATTCACAGTCACACAAACTGAAACTGGAATCACAGCTCTGCTGCAAAACAGCTGTATTATTTTGTTTAGGATCATTAAGTTGTCAGTTGTTTCAATAAAAAATGGGGTTAATACCTGAACCTAATCTGAAGTTTGTTGAAGGCATTCAAAAGATCAAGTATTTGAGGTAGTGAGGACATCTGTCATAAAGAAAGAATTCCATAAATGGTAGCTTTTCCAAAGGAAAAATTAACAATTGAAGTATAGCAAAAATGGAGAGATGTACAAAAATATACATGTAAGCTTGATGAATTTTCACAGAAGACATTCATTAATATTTTATCCTTGCTGGTATTGCCATATCTGTTGTTGTAATTCATAGGAATGGCTTGTAGATTATATGCTCTTTTGTGGCTGGCTTCTTTCATTGACCATGATGCTTGTGATACATGTTCCTGTTGTTCCAAGTAGTGATAGCTGGGGTTTTTTAATTCTCACTATTATAGAATATTCATTTGTATGTTTACACGACCATTTTATTGTTCATTATACTATTAATGGAACTTTTATTTTCTGTTCCAATTGCTCATGACAAATGGTAAGTTGTCTATGGTATATAGTACTTGAAGACAAGATACAACCTGTTCTTTGCCACATCTCATATAGCTGCCTATTCCTATCTATTCTCACTGCCCTCACACCAACATAAATTCTTTCCTATTTTCCTTGCCTCCAGCCTCTCTGTGTTCAAATTTATTCTGAGTATAACTGTCTTAGTTCTTCTCCGTGTAGGTGAATAATGTCTACACATGGACATAAGGTATAAAATAATAGACATTGGAGACTTGGAAGGGTGGGAGGTTGGGAGGGGGGTGAGGAGTGAGAAATTCTTTAATGTGTAAAATGTACACCATTAAAGTGATAGCTACACCAAGAGCCCAGACTTCACCACTATGCAATATACCCAGGTAACAAAACTGCCCTCGTGCCCTCTAAATCTCTACAAATAAATAATAATAATAATAATAATAATAATTGAGGACTATGTTTAAATTGAATATAAAGAACAATGCTGTAAAAAGCATACAAATCAATATTGCCATTTTACAAATGAAAAAACTGAGGCTCAGTTAGGTTAGGCCACTGGCCCAATTCTTCAGATCTAGTAAGACACAGAACAGAAGCCCGAACCAATGCCTGCTGGCTCCAGAAGCTGTAATCTTTTCAGTTTTATGAAGCTAATATTATCTGAATTAGGTATATCTTGCTTTCTGCTTGTTCCAGAAAGTGTTGCCTTCAGTCCTGCCTCATTGCTTTTTCCAGTGAGGTGCCCCTTGCTTAGCATGCCTCTCATCATCAGAGAACTCATCCCTGATTTTGTCATGACCTGTCACGAAGTCCTTCTGGACCACTCTGCCCCAATGGGTCTCTGTCTGTGGCTTGTCTTCCTCAGAAGAATGGGTTTTAAATATTCTCCTAAATCCTGTTCTGTTTATAAGCTTGGACTTCATGCGTGGCTGTGATAGAGCTGAACAGTCAGTGATAGATTTCTAAGTCTTTCTTGTTTTTACAATATTGGCTTGGCCTTCATATACAGAAACTTTGAACCACACTTACTATTCTGAGTTATAATGCAACAACGCTGACTCAAAACTCTTATGACTCTCACCTTCCCATTTTTTAAGCCCACAGTAATGATACGGAAGTGGGGCAGGGAGGTGCTGGGAAGGGAAGGGCAGGTCCCTGGTGAGGGCTCCACCCCCTGGGCCTGTGCCTATGGACCTAGGTGAGAACAGGCACTCCTGCCTTAGCACACAAATGTTGCATTTCCCAAGAACACCCTGGCCTGCCACACCCCCATCCTGTGCCTCTAAAACCCGTGGAGATCCTAGCAGGCAGACACACAGGTGGCTCACTGTTGAGAGCAGTGCACCAATAGGCACCTGCACCATGGCAGGCCACCGACTGGCTGACAGAAGCAGAATGAGCGGAGTTTGGCTAGGGCAGTTGGAGGAGAGCCCAGGCCACTGAGCACCCCAACTCCAGGGGGACACCTTCCCATTCCATCCCCTTCTGACTTCCCCGGAGGTACCTCCACTCAATAAGACCTTGCACTCATTCTCTAAGCCCAAGTGTGATCTGATTCTTCTGGTACACCAAGGCAGGAACCAAGGATACAGAAAGCCTCTGTCTTTGTGACAAGGTAGAGGGTCTAAATGAGCTGGTTAACACAAGCTGCCTACAGACAGCAAACTAAAAGAGCACCCTGTAACACACGCCCACTGGGGCTTCAGGAGCTGTAAACATTCACCCCTAGACACTGTTGTGGTGTCAGAGCCCCACAGCCTGCCCGTCTGCATGCTCTCTTAGAAGTTTGAGCAGTGGGGCACTGAAGAAGTGAGCCACACTCTCATCGCATGCCCTGCGAGGGGTACAAGGGAACTTTTCCCCCTTCAGTAACAGTAATAATATACTGTATTATCAATTTGGGAAAGATAGGTATAGAAATGTAAGCAGTTGATTATTCATTTAAATTGTAACAAACTTCAATATTTATCCCTAATGGAAAAAATCCAATCCTTCATTTCCAGTGTTTTACGTTTATTTTGACAATTACACAGCCCCGTGGGCCACTATTTAACAATGAAAACGCTAACCTATCAGTATAATAAGTGGTTAGTCTCTTATTCACTTTGCCCACAGAATGAAAATTTAACTTGCAATTGCATTAAGAGGTAGCAACCAAGTTAATTGTTAATAACTTGAGTTATTACATTAAGTATAATTTGTTATGGCAATTTGAAAGCAAAGCAGCACTATGACAACTTAGAGGTGAGATCTGGAAAGTTGTTTGCATACAATTATTAAATGCATTATTCTTTTAGCCAATCTATTTTGGTTGGGGTAATTATTATTAATAATAAAGTGACATAGTGACTAAAATAACATATCTCACTGGTTAAGGCAAAAGCATACATAATTTCTGACTGTCTGAATGGTACTTTTTGGCTAGACTAGTGTTCATGCATGCTTTAGCTTATTCCTTAATTATTAAAAGTTATATAATTTCTCACAGTTAATTCATAATACTTTGGATTTTAACATAGAAATGTCAACAGTCATAAGACTATTTATATACTAGAAAAAGATTTATCAAAATTTAGTATCTACAGAGCAGAAATTCATTATGTGCTAGCGTTTCCTCTCATTGACCCATAGAATAGGCAATATAGAAATTAAAATGTCATAGTCACACTTTCGTATTTAAGAATCCAGGGACTGTGCATGGTGGCTCACACCTGTAATGCCTGTATTTTGAGAGGCTGAGGCAGGAGGATCATTTGAAACCAGGAATTCTAAAACAGTTTGACCAATATAGAAAGAACCCTTCTCTACAAAAAAATTAGCTGAATGTGGTGGTATGCACCTGTAGTCTCAGCTACTCAGGAGGCTGAGGTGGGAAGATCCCTTGAGCCCAGGAAGTTGAGGCTGCAGTGAGCCATGATCACGCCACTGCACTCCAACCTGGTGACAGAGATCCTGTCTCTTAAAATAATAACAATCCAGACTCTGGAATCCCAGCACCACCACTTGTTAGCACAACACATTAGAAAAACCTGAAAACATAATGGTGAGCCAATCATTATGATTGTTGTTTATAAAAAAAAGTCGAGCATTAGGAGATATACCTAATGTAAATGACGAGTTAATGGGTACAGCACACCAACATGGCACATGTATACGTATGTAACAAACCTGCACATTGTGCACATGTACCCTAGAACTTCAAGTATAATTTAAAAAATGAAAAAAAAAAAACAAGAAGTTGAGATTTTAAAGGAATTAGAAATGGGATGAATCAGATACACAGTTCACAGAGATTTGGAGCAGAAGACAGGGAACCATGGTAGGGCCTCAAACACAGAAGATGAGCATCAACATTACTTAAGTAAGCTACAGGAAAGACTTCGGAGACCAGAATTAAGCAGAAACTTAGTTACTAGAATCAATGTTCTTTGCTAGGTCCAGCATTCAGGAGCTAAGACAATATGAAGCTATTGGATGAAGCCAGCATGAGACACACTGCCTTACCCACTGCTCTAGACGTGAAGACTGGCAGTGGCATAACAGGGGGCTTTAGGGGCTTTTCTGACTGCACTATTTTTGGATATTTTTCTCTTTGGCTTGCAATTATGCCATAAAGCCAGGTATTAGGCAGAGGCTCTGTGGGAAAGGAGACGTGGTTCAGTTCAAAGTTTCCTCTCAGACAGATGAACACCGCAGTTATTAAAAATCTTCTTTCAATCTTTACCCCAGCCATTACTGTATCTACCAAAGCAATCCCTTCCAAAGACTTCAACTCACCCAAAGATCACTTAGCTCTGAATCCGTGGATTCTGACTACTTTTCCTAAAATTCAGAAAAGCAACTGTTTTCAGGTTTTTAAAAAAGTACCTCTTTTCATGAATCACTTAAAACAAGAACTGCCTTGTGATGAGCGTGAGATTCAGAGATCTAGCCCTAGCCAGGGCTCAATTTTCTTGTACTTACCTTTGAATCAAACTGATCTCATGCCTAGAGAGTGACCTGAGTGCTACCTGAATATAATATAGGAAAGCAATCCGTGTATCAACGGAAAACATACATAAATTATAGCACACCCTTCAGCGTGTCCTCATTCTCATTCTATAGGAGTCATAAGGACTTGTGTAAATGGAATATTTTTAAATTCCCAAGAAAATAAAAAAGTTTGATTTCTAATGCTTTAAATGTGCTGAATTAAGCAAGTATTTTAAAGAAACCAATTCAGAAACTTTTTAAAAATCCAAATTCACGTAATTTAAGTAAATCTTTGGCAAATTCGTTAACAAATTTGGTTCAATAAAACTACCGTTATCTTCTCAGTTCTATCAGTGTCAAATATAATACAAGCTTTTTTTACCATCCTATTTTTTTTCTTTAGTTTGGGAACCACTTCTTGAACACATTTTTTAAAAAAATTGATACATTACAATTTTGTGTATTTATGGAGTTCAAGTTGATATTTTGATACATATATATGTTGCATAATGATCAATTCAAGGTATTTAGCATGACCATCTCCTCACACATTTATCATTTCTTTGTGTTGAAGACATTCAGAAGCCTGTCTTGTAGCTACTTGGTAATATACAATACCTTACAGTTAACCCATCATCACTCTACTATGCAGAATAACACCAGAAATTATTCCTCGTATCTAATTGTAACTTTGTGCCTGTGGACTAAACTCTCCCCATGCTCTCCTCTTCCCTCCTCTCTTCGGTCTCTGGAAACCACTGTTCCATTCTATGCTTCTAGGATATTAACTTTTTTTTTCTTTTTCTGGATTCCACATATGAGTGAGATCATGAGACATTTGTCTTTCTTCATCTGGCTTATTTAAGATAATATTTTGCAAGTCCATCCATGTTTGCCTCAAATGACAAGATTTTATGAGTTTTATGGCTAAATAGAATTCAGTTGTGTATATATACCACATTTTCTTTCTCCATTCATTCATTTTTGGGCACTTGGGTTGATTATGTATCTTGGCTATTGTAAATACTGATTCAATAAATGTGGGAGTGACCTCACTTTGCCATACTGAATTCACACCCAGTAGTGAGAGTGCTGGATTATGTGGTAGTTCCATTTTTAATTTTTTGAGACAGGTTCATGGGTATGCTTTTCTAAATGTATATAGGCTTTCTGATAAAAATAAGTTAAATAATTCCTAATGTTTTAAGATCATAAAACATGTAAGTTTGTTTTTAACTAAATTAATTTTGACAAACTATTTCAATAGTAACTATATTTTATAGTACGTTAGCTTGAACATAATTTCTAAAGCCTTTAAGTAACTTAAAACCTTGAACAAATATTAAATTAATTGAAAATCATTAGATGCTTATTACTTCTTAGTAAGACTAGAATACTAAGACATTAATTGTTAAGCATCATTTTAGGTTTATATGCTTTTTCCTCCATTTATTTTTTATTTATTTATTTATTTATTTATTTTTGAGCCGGAGTCTCACACTCTTGCCCAGGCTGGAGTGCAGTGGCACGATCTCTGCTCACTGCAACCTCCACCTCTCGGGTGCAAGGGATTCCCCTGCCTCAGCCTCCTGAGTAGCTGGGATTACAGGTGCCTGCCACAATGCCTGGCTAATTTTTTTGTATCTTTAGTAGAGACAGGGTTTCACTATGTTGGCCAGGCTGGTCTTGAACTCCTGACCTCGTGATCCGCCTGCCTCAGCCCTCCCAAAGTGTTGGGATTACAGGCGTGAGCCACCGTGCCCAGCCTTCTCTAATTTTTATATGCTGCAAAGAAGCATCTTTGGATCTATTACAGAATAATTGGCTCTTCAATTATGAAAGAGCTAAGATTATTTATGATTACATTACCTTCTATTTTGAAGTACTTTATTTTCCCTTTCAAATGTGTTGTCAATTATCATTTATTTGGTATTTATGGTTCTGAGCTAAATTTTCAAGTTTCCTAACAAATTTGATTTTGGCTTTCCAGTTCAAATCTTTAATATAAAATGGAATAAAATAAAATTTTCAGAATATCTCTTACACCTAAAACTGTCTTTGAGATTTCCCAACCGTACCTTGAAACATCATACAGTTTAATTTTTTCACCTTATAAAAAGAAAAGCTCTAGGAATAATTAGTGTGTTTGATATATTATGATTTATGAGTTTCATTGAAAGAATTGTCAAATAAACACACTGCTCAGCCTTCCAATTGTTAAATTTTTATCATTAAAATAACTATAGTCATGCACTCCATAATGACGTTTCAGTCAATTATGAAACACATATTTGACAGTGGTTCCATAAGGTTAAAATACTGTACTTTTGGCTGGGCGCAGTGGCTCATGCCTGTAATCCCAGTGCTTTGGGAGGCTGAGGCGACTAGATCACTTAAGGTCAGGAGTTCGAGACCAGCCTTGCCAACATGGTGAAACCCCGTCTCTACTAAAAATACAAAACTTAGCCAAGTGTGGTGGTGGGCACCTGTAATCCCAGCTACTCAGAAGGCTGAGGCAGGAGAATCACTCGAACCTGGGAGGTGGAGGCTGCAGTTAGCTGAGATTGTGCCACTGCACTCCAGCCTGGGTGACAGAGTGAGACTCTGTCTCAAAATAAAATAAAATAAAATAAAATATAAATAAATAAATAAAATACTGTACTTTTACCATACCTTTTCCATGTCTAGATATGTTTAGAAACACAAATACTTACCATGCATTACAATTGCCTGCAGTACTCAGTACAGTAACATACCACCCAGGTTTGTAGCTTAGGAGCAATAGACTATATACTATACAATGTAGGTGTGTGGTAGGACATACCATTTAGGTCTATGTAAGTACACTCTGTGATGTTCACACAATGAGGAAATTGCCTAACAATATATATATCAGAGTGTATCCTTTTCATTAAACAAAGCATGACTTCTTCAGAGATGGCATGTTTTATGGGAAGTCTACAGTTATTAGTCAATGCCTTTTCTTTCCATATGTCATAACCTCAGAAACACTGAAATAAATAGCAAGCAATAGTTCTGCCAAGTTTTCCTATGTTTATATATAGGTATATACATGTGATTGGCCTGATGACATTAGGCAACAACAGTAAAGTGTTATCAGTCATAAATTCAGTTATTATTTAAAATGTTTATATGACCATAACCTCATTTATTTATTTATTTATTTATTTTTAGACAGAGTGTCATTCTATTCCCTAGGCTGGAATGCAGTGGCACAATCTCGGCTCACTGCAACCTCCGCCTCCCGGGTTCAAGAGATTCTCATGCCTCAGCCTCCCGAGTAGCTGGGATTACAGGTGCCTGTCTCCATCCCTGACTAATTTTTGTATTTTTGGTAGAGTTGGGATTTTGCCATATTGGCCAGGCTGGTCTCGAACTCCTGACCTCAGGTGATCCGCCTGCCTCGGCCTCCCAGAGTGCTGGGATTACAGGTGTGAATAGCCTCATTTCTTTAATTTGGATCTAGCGTCATCTAGGCCAATACTTTACATTTGATGATACACATCAATATTAACAATGGAGTTGGTTTTGTTTTGTCTTTTGTTAAAAATGCAGATAATTAGAATTTACATCAAACTTACTAAACTTCTTGATAGTATCATGTATGCTTGACATATATTCTTACTAAGGGCTTGGTATATTCTTGGGATATGGTAATATATTGTTTTAAGATTATTATAGTTACATCTCAAAATATTTTTCTTCATAAAAATTGTTTATTCATTTTTACGAAATAAAATATTCACTGTATTCTTGGAAAATATCTTTAATCATTATGCTTACAGGCATTTTGTCAAAACCTTTTTTGGTTTAACCTTATTTTCTTCTTTATTTCACAAGCCACAGCATCAATCTAATTTCCTTGTCAGTTGCATTATTCTTGTCATGAACTCTCATCAGACTTTTCACTTTTGAAAATTATCAGTAATAAATTTACCACAGCCATTTTCTATCTCTGTCTTCTACAGGTAGGTTTTGTTTTATTCTAATCTTTCCCCAAATGTTCTATAATCAGCTACAGGCTAGAGTTTTTCTGGTACTCAAAGAAGGACTGTCTTAGATCCCTGTGAAAAAGGGGTATAACAGTTATTTCCAACAACTGTTTCATTGAAAACTAGATTTTTGAGTATAGGCTTCCAATATCTGATGGCATCCCTTAGACAACTTTAATACCATATGGGGGTACTGAGTAAGAATTTTCTGCAGTTGAAAAGCAGAGAGGTTCATGAGACTGCTAACCCAAGACCCAGTGGAACCAGAATTAATTATATGGGATTGAATAAATTGATGATGGATGACTATAGCTTTATTTTTCATATTGCTGACATTTTAATATATATTACCTATCTATATTCTCTATATAAATATATATTTATATATAAAGAAAATATACATAAATATATATTTATATATAAAGGAAATATATATATTTATATATAAAGAAAATATATGTAAATATATATAGGACATATATTCAAATATCCTTTGTTATTTGTTAGACACACATACAAACATACAAACTTTGTTACCGTGTTGTGTGTAAATCATAACAATTTAATCATTTAATAGACCCTGCACTGGTAAGCTAAGGGAAAACTTTTAAATGATATATTTTCTCTGACATCCAGAAATCCAGAAACTCTAATTGAGTCTCCTTCCTATTCATAGCAGTGCAGTTATTTGCATACATTCATGAAAAATTTGTCTTCCTTCTTTTCAGGATACAATTGGAAAGTTGGTTACACAACCCAAGACTTGCCAGAATGTCATATTCAAAAATGATGCTCTTTTTTTCAGGTTTGACCAGGCCACTTCTAAGGTAATTTATGGAGCCCTTTCTTACAAAGCCATCCCAGGAACAGTAGCCTGGTATCTCGCTTACAGGATCCAGACTTACAGGTGGTAACACAAGTCACTTCCCAGAGAGTCCAGGAAATGGCATATTTTGGGGGCCTTGAAAAGAGAAGAACTTGCCAAAATTTATACTATTTGCAGGTGAAATCTAGTGGAGATAATTTCTTGGGCTTGTTCTTCCTAGCTTCAGGACAGCAATAGAGTAATAAAAAAGTCCCATCTGAGACTCCTTATGAAAACATCCAGGGAGGCAACTTAAGAAGGCCTGTATAGAAAGTTACAGTCTTTCTGCTCTTATCTAAATAATCAGGTCAAAACTACTAAGACTGGTAGCCTTATTTTGTGACCAAATAAAAACATCGTTCTATGAGGGTTTTTTGTTTGTTTGTTTGTTTGTTTTCTTTTGTTTTTATTATAAGGGGAGAGACTACTGGAAAAAATCTGAGCTGCAGTGAAAACTATATACTGCCGGAAGCAAATCTTTCTGATTATCGAATTCCATTTTTATGAGAGCTATCATAGAGTTTTGTAAGTTATAAATAACTGCTAGTAGTGCAGAATAATTCTTCAGGAAGGAAAAGAAGCCTTGAGTGCCATGTCAGCTATTCCCACCTAGAGAAGCAGGAACAAAGATTTTCCTCCCACTAATTCAGAACACAGGTCCTAGCCTACCCTGACTTCTAATTTTTCTCTTCTGGGAGTATGTGACCTTCGGTGTTCCTACTTTCCCAAGTCCAGTCTGGTTGGATAGGGCCTGGGCTCTGCTCAGAGGCTGACACTGCTTTGTTTCAGGGGAACTTGCTGACATTTCCCTGTTCTCCTCCGACAGTTCTGTGGTAACAGATGCCTGATGCTTTGTCTGGATTTACATTTTCAAAGAGTCTGTCCCTTCTGGAGCAGGAACTGAGATGTCTTTCTCAACAGGGTCTCTGTTCTGGGAAGATGGCTTGCCTTCACTCTGGTGAGGGAGGTTCCCAACCCTGCACCTCCTTCTGGAGGCTCTCCTGATTTGAAGTCTTCTTTTTCTGCTTTTTTGGTCTAAATTAGGGTGCTGGCTCTTTCCTAGAAATGGAAATTCAGGAGATCCCTTCTCCTTTCCCTTCAGTGTGCCCCCTCTGCCCTCCAGATCTCCAGTTCAGTCACCCTATGCCAGATTTGGTCTTTGACACTGGGTGTGAAGTTGGAAATGTTGTTTGCTTTCTTTTCAGTGTGATGTGCCTCTGTATGCCCATGGCCAGGATCACAGTGAGAACATCTCAAGGCTGTCTGGCCTTCCCCACCCCCATGTGTGGTTTAGCAAGAGCACTATCCAGGGTGGGTAGCACCATCTTTTTCAATCACCTGTTCTCTGTGACCTTAATGGTTTGTTCCAAGGAACTGGGAAACCTTGGCTATGGAGTCTACTCCTGAACCAAGGGTGTCTGAGAAGGGAAAGGTGACCTGGGAAAATGGCTATGACTCAATGTCTCTCATCTGATACAATTATATGAATTTAAAAACTTTGATAAGTCTTTCTATTTATTCTACCTACAGTCATACATTAACTGGGTCTAGCTTTACTCCTGGGAGTTTTTGGCTTTTACTTCACTTCACAATTTTCAAGGTCTTCAAAGACTGGAGTCTTTCAAGAATTTTTTACTTATTTCTAAATCTTCACATTCTTAGGAATTTTTCTGTCCTCCACTCCAGCTTCTCCATATAATCTGGTCTTGCCTTGGATCAGCCCAGATGTAGAACTCAGTCCCAACTTGAATTTTATCCAACATAATCCACCTTCCCAAAAAACATGAATGAGAAAAATATCCTGTATTAAATATACCATAAGAGTGACAAAGCGGGAGGGAGGTGCTAGCACACCCCGTGCAGGAGGGAGGTGCTAGCACACCCCGTGGATACATAGACAAATGGAGCAGAATAGAAAACCCAGAAATAAGCCACTGAATTTACAGCCAACTGATTTGCAACAAACATGCTAAGAACACACAATGGAGAAAGGACAGACTCTTCATTAAATAAAACTGGATATCCACATGCAGAAAAATAAAATTTAACCCTTATCTCTCACCATATAAAAAAAACTAACTAAAAATAGATTAAAGACTTAAATGTAAGATCCAAAACTGTGAAACTGCTAGAAGAAAACTTAGGGGATAAGCTTTATAATGTTGGTCTGGGCAATGATTTTCTGGATATTACCGCAAAAGCACAGGCAACAAAAGCAAAAATAGACAGATGAGATTATATCAAGTTAAAAAGCTTTGCACAGCAAAGAAAACAATCAGCAGAGTGAAGAGACAACCTATAGAATGAGAACAAATGTTTGAAACTCTACATTTCATAAAAGGTTAATATCCAAAATATCTAAGAAACTCAAACACTTCAATAGCACAAAAATAGATAACCAAATTTTAAAAATGGACAGAAGACCTAAATAGATATTTCTCAAAAGAAGATATATGAATAGCCAACACATATGTAAAACAATACTCAACATCACTAATCATTGGTGAAATGGAAATCAAAACCACAATTAAATATTACCTTACCTCCTGTTATAATGGCTGTCATCAAAAAGACAAAAACTAGCAAAAGTTGACAAGAATGTGAAAAAAGGGAACTCTAAAACACTGCTGGTGGAAATGAAAATAAGTATAGTCATTATGGAAAACAATATGGAGTTCCTCAAAAAAGTAAAAATAAAACTACGTTATGATCCAGCAACCCCACTACTGGGTATCTATCCAAAGGAAACAAAATCATTATGTTGAAAAGAAATCTGCATTCTCATGTTTATCACAGCCCTATTCACAATAGTCAAGATATGAAATCAACCTAAGTATCTATTGGTGGATGAAAGGATAAAGAAAATGTGGTGTATATACACAATGGAATACTGTTTAGCCATGAAAAGAACAGAATCCTGTCATTTGCAACAAGATGGATGAACGTGAATGACAATATGTTAAGTGAAATATGCCAGATACAAAAAGACAATTACTGTATAATCTCATGTCAATGTGAAATCTAAAAAAGTTGGTAACATAGTAGCAGAGAGTACATTGGTGGTTTGCCAGAGGCTGAAGTGGTTTGGAAGGAGGAGGGATTGAAGGTATGTTTGTCAAAGGATGTATATTTATAGTTAAATAGGAGAAATGAGATACGTTGTACAGCATTGTGACTACAGTGAACGACAATATATTATTTTCTTAAAAAGTGCTAAGAGAATGCATGTTAAGTGTTCTCACCACAAAAAAAAATGATTCTACATAACGTAGTAATGTTTATTAGTTAGCTAGATTTAACAATTCTACGGTGCATATACACCTTAAAACATCATGTTGTGACTGCGCTCGGTGGCTCATGCCTGTAATCCCAGCACTTTGGGAGGCCGAGGAGGGCAGATCACCCGAGGTCGGGAGTTCGAGACCAGCCTGACCAACATGGAGAAACCCTGTCTCTATTAAAAAAAAAAAATACAAAATTAGTTGGATGTGTTCGCACATGCCTGTAATCCCAGCTACTCAGGAGGCTGAGGCAGGAGAATCATTTGAACCCAGGAGGTGGAGGTTGCAGTGAGCAGAGCCAAGATTGTGCCATTGCACTCCAGCCTGGGCAACAAGAGTGAAACTCCATCTCAAAAAAAAAAAAAAAAAATTCATGTTGCAGACAACAAATACATACAATTTTATATCTCGATTTAAAATAAGCAAACTTTAAAAGAGATTATAATTGTGATTATTAAGTGTGTATATGTGTGCATGTATGTGGGTGCACACGTGTGGTTTGTGTACTTCTAGAAGGGAAATCATGCATTTTCTTCTCCCTTACTTTTCATGCTTATGTAAGAAGCATTTGACAATGAACGATAAGTATTTTGCAAAAATAAGCCTGGATTCTATGCAATCATGGCCTATGTGAGCATTTGAGGACCCTGAGGAAAGGATGCAAGTACAACTGGTTTATTTGGGAGGTGACCACAGAGGCACTGGTAGAGGGGCAGTAGTTCCCACTGGGATAAAGCTGGGAGCTACTGTGGCACATGTGACTCAGGGCCATCCAACAGGAGAGATCACTTCCTGGGGGCTGCTCCCACAAGATGTTAACTCTCTGGCCCTTCAAGGGACCTAGGGAGAGAAGGTTCTGGCAGCCAGAGGGAATCCTCAGGGAGTGAAAAGCCAGTTGTGCATGACGGTCATAATGCCTGAGTGAGTCTGGGCAGGAAGCTTCAAATCAGCTTCAAGTACTCTGACATGTACTCAGAGTGCTGTGCGTTCCATCATTACTTCCTATGGTTTTCGCTTGTGTTTGAGAGGTTTCGATTGTGTTTTCTCTCTCTACTTCCCTCATCCAGCCACTCCTGAGTGTTGAGGATACTCAGGACTTCCAGACAGAAATCTTCTGGAAAAGGAGGAATCCTCTGAGGCCAGCCTGGGGGACAGATGAACCTCAAGTTCCCCTGTGTAGCATTCATTTGTGTTTGCCTACATGGAGGTATCTGGCTTCTAGAAAACCCCTCAGTTTTTATTAGGGGATGCCCCTCCCCCATGCAAACAGTCTCAGTTTATGTGAATCAGGATGGACACATGCGGATTTAAATCAGGACAGTTTAAACAACAACAGGATAAGTCCTAGGGTCTTTGTTAAGAATACCAGAAAAGGTACCCACCTTTTTTGTTCTGGAGCTAAAGTTGGAAAGATTTTCCCCCGGTACCTCTGTCTGCCATTGTGTGACAATAGGAAGAGGTCCTCTCTGGGAAGGGGTCAGCTCAGTACAGTGAAGAGAGCTCAGTTCAAGAGATAAGTAAGGTCCTGAACCATCATTTGGGAGTGGGAACATTTCTCCAGCCTGGCCTAGGACCCAGACCTACACCTCTATTATCAGGACATCCAGAAAGAAATTAGTTGGAGTAAAACTTCTGGATTTTAAATTCAGAAGTTTCCAAAATGCAACATTTACTGACAGGTTATTATAATATAGGAAGTAATAGTAATAACCTATTGAAGGCATTTTCAGCAATAGGGAAATCTTTGAAAACCAGAAACTGGGTTTACCATTGGTGAATTTCTTAAATTTTATTGCCTCAGTTTTCTCAATATTAAACTGAAATAAAACCCTGTATGTACCATACAGAAGGACTGTGAGGGTTAAGGAACCTAATAAACATTTTGCAAAGATCTTGGCACATGGTATTATTATCTCAGTAAGGCCTGCAGCTATGTCTGGTATTCATTTGTGGAACCACTAAAATTCTAGTGCCAACTATACTTTATTCATAGTAAGTTGTTAACAAATAAACGCTGGTTGAATGAATAGATTGAAGGAAGTAGGCATAATATTCCAAATATTTAACAACAAGATGGCTGACTAGACACAGGTAGCATATGCCTTGTACATGGAGAGAAACCAGAGTAGTAAGTAGATACTCATATTTTGAACAGAATGTCTAGGAGATAATATTAGGATTCCCCAGAGAAGAGATGGGAAGCACAAGAAGTAAGTAAGGAGAGAGTTTGAGGCAGCTTGCCCACACAGGAGCTGACTGAGATCTGAGAGAGGCTCTTGGACATGGGGAAACAGAGAGAAACCCCGAGGCCTGAGACATGGGCTTTTACCATCTTGGCTATGGGAGAAACCCTTGACTTACTAGGCCCCTGAACCTTACATATAGAGTTGCCTAAAGATTGCACAGAGACATTGCTCCAAAAAGGGAACCCACATAGAATCCCTCAAGCATTCAAGCCTGGTATGTAGCCTCAGTTGGGAGCCATTTTGAAAGCCTGGATATAGGGATCTTCAGACACAGCTGTGGCCACTGTGATGCTCCAAAAAGAAATCAGGCACTGCCACACACCTCTGGGAGGGTTCCTGCCACCCTGCTGCAAGCTTCTATTGAGACTGAGATGTGAGAGCCTACACCTCTTACAGCTTCTTGCCCATGTTGTTTGCTTGGAATGTGCCATTTACTATCTGGTCCCAGGCCCAAGGTGCCATTTTAAGAGTTT
Source organism: Homo sapiens (assembly GCF_000001405.40). NCBI lineage: Eukaryota > Metazoa > Chordata > Mammalia > Primates > Hominidae > Homo > Homo sapiens. The sequence goes on along the minus strand of NW_003315919.1, from coordinate 89,003 downwards.
AACACTAGACTGTGCTTCACCTTTGGTCTGAGTTCAGGCTGATTCGGCTGTAACTGCTCCAGCCAAGGAGAGATAGGGAAATCAGCCTATTTTATGCATATCTAGGACAATACCCACTGCCCTGTAATGGGATACTGTAAGATTGAGATGTGAGTGAACTGCACTCCCACAGCTTTTTGATAATCCTGCTTGCCTGGCAGGGGCCCCATTGTCCCAGGTAACAAACCCATGGTTGGAACCATTTTGAATTTAATGCTGGACTCCGTGCCACCCTCAGGCCAAGTTTGAGGTGATGCAGCTGGACCCACCATCCAGCTTGGGGAGGAACAGGGAAGACCAAATTCTCTTATGCACTCTTAGGACAATACTCACCACCCTGTGATAGGCAGTATAAGACGGAGAGCTAACCTAACCCATCGCAGCCTCCAGCAACACCAACACAAAACACCTGGGTCCCAGTAGTTGCTCCAATACCACTACTGCCATCACCCACACCACTCCAGCTGTCCAAGGGCCTAAGAACCCACCTACATGCTTTGTTCACTATTCCATCTACTCTAAGCAAGCCATCAGGAGACCCAAAAATCAGCCCTCCAGGACCTGTTAACACTGAAGTCAGTGTAAGGTGCTCTGGGGCCTAAAAACACTCACATTTACCCCATTGCTGCTACCACTGGATCGCAAAGACTGGTTCAGTTTGCATCCCAAGTTCTCAGTTATGCTTCATCAAAGCCACAAATAATAACTGTACCCTAAGTCATTGATGATATCACAGCGATTACTCACTCTGTGTATTACTGAGGAAGTCATATGAAAATCACACTATGCAGGCACTCAAAATCAAAGCCAAATATCTTAATCAACAACATACATATATCCTTAGGAAAAAAAATCTCCCCTACAGAAGCAATTTCAAACAACTGGAACATGCAACTGCTATGCCAGATGCACAGATATCAATGGAAGGACACAGGAAACATGAAAAATATGATGCCACCAAAGGACCACAACAACTGTCCAGCAAGAGATTCCAACCCAAAAGTACTCCTTGAAATACCAGATAAATAATTCAAAATACTGATTTTTAAAGAAGCTCAATGAGATGCAAGAGAAATCTGAAAATCAACACAAAGAAATGAGAAAATCAATTAAGTATATGGTAATGAGATATTTACCAAAGAGATGAATATCTTTAGCAAATGAAGCAAAAGTTCTGGAAATAAAAAGTTTATTGAGGGAAACACAAAATACATTTGAAAGCTTCCATAGTAGTCTAGACCAAGCAGAAGAAAAAATCTCAGAACTTAAAGACAGATCTTCTGAAATAATGTAGTCACACAAAAATAAGAAAATAATTAAAAAGAATAAACAAAGTATTTGAGCCATCTGGGACTAATAAAGTGACCAAACTTACAAATTATTGGTATTCCTGAGGGGAAAAAGAGATCAAAAATTTTAGAAAACACATGTAAGAAAATAATTGATGAAAACTTCCCAAGTCTATCAAGAAAGTTAGACACCAATAGAAAAAGCCCCAGTGAGCCCCAGGAAAATACACTGCAAAAAGGACTTCACCACAGCATATTATATTTAGAATGTCTAAAGTCAAAGTGAAATAATTTTAAAAATACCAAGAGAGAAACACGTAGTCACCTATAAACATGTGGTCATCCATCAGATTAACAGCAGACTTTTCAGCAGAAACTTTACAGGCCAGAGGAGAATGGGATGGCATATTCATAGTGTTGAAAGGAAGAAGCAAACAAACAAACAAAAACTGCCAGCCAATAATTATGTATCCTTTCAGAACAAGGTTGATAAATGAAAGAGAAATAAAGTATCTCCTGGACAAACAAATGCAGAGAGAATTTGTCACCACTAGGCCAGGCCTATAGGAAATGTTCAAAGGGGTCTTTACCATGGAAACACAGTTCAATATTCACTATCACAAAACACATTGAAATACAAAATGCACAGTTCATATAAAAGAATCACACAAAGAAAGAAGACAAAGAAATCAAATGGCAACATGTTAGAATTTCATCAAAGCACAAAGACAAAAAGACAGAGAAAAAGAAAAAAACAAATAATGTATAAAACATGAAAACAATCAACAATGTAACAGGAACAAAGTCTCACATATCAATATTAACTGTGAATGTACATGGACTAAATGCTCCACTTAAGAGATACAGTTAGGCAGAATGTATTTCAAAAAGCCATGATCCAACTATGTGCTGCCTACAAGAAAAATCACCTGACCCACAGAAACATATAGATTGAAAGTAAAGAAGTAGAAAAATGTATTCCATGCAAATGAAAACCAAAAGCAAGAAGGAGTAGATATACTTGTACCAGATAAAATAGACTTTAAACAAGAACAGTAAAGAAAAAGACAAAGAATGTCATTGGATAATGATAAAGGGATCAATTCATTAAGAGTATATATTTTATATATATATAAAATATATATATGAAATACTATATATATACTATATATAAAATATATATATATGAAATACTACTAAGACATAAAAAAGAATGAGATCATGCCCTTTGCAGCAACATAGATGGAACTGGTGGCCATTATCCTAAGTGAAACCACTCAGAAACAGAAATCAAATACCACATGGTCTCACTTATAAGTGGGAGCCAAACAATGGGTACACATGGACATACAGAATGTAATAATGGGCACTTGGAGACCATAAAACATGGGAGAGTAAGAAGTGGGTGAATGTAGAAGGACTATCTGTTGGGTACAAGGTTCATTATTTGAGTGATGAGTACACTAAAAGCCCAGACTTCACCACTATGCAATATATGCATGTAAGAAACCTGTACTTGTACTCCCAAGTGTGTAAAAATTTTTTAAATTAACAACTGGTATGGTACCTGCACCAGCAACACACACTGTACCGTCAGAAGCAACCAGTATAGTACTGCTTGTGTACATATCTACTGAATATGAACTAGAATAAATGAGAAAGCAAATATTAAAATGCCAATTATATGTAAATTATTCCTTATATACAATATATACAGTGTATAACTCAGTTCTCTAAAATTGAACTATCTTTAATTTTACTTTCAGAGGAGCATACATGGGGTGATGCTGCCCACTGGTTATTGTTTTATGAAAAATAAATTTGGTCAGGCATGGTGGCTTGTGCCTGTAATCCCAGCATTTTGGGAGGCTGAGGTGGGAGGATCACTTGAGATCAGGAGTTTGAGACCAGCCTGGACAACATGGTGAAACCTCATCTCTACTAAAAATACAATAAATTAGCAGGGCATGGTGGCATGCACCTGTAATCCCAGCTACTCGGGAGGCTGAGGCAGGAGAATCGCTTGAACCCAGGAGGTGGAAGTTGCAGTGAGCCGAAGTCTCACTACTGCACTACAGCCTGGGTGGCAGAGCAAGACTCCATCTCAAAAAATAAATAAAAGTTACCAGAATACATTTCCTTGATTACATGACTCTTTATAGAGACTTTTACTTCTGAGAAAAGAATCATGACTTGACATCCCCCTAAATGTCTATATTACAAGAAGTCCCTTGCCTGGGCTCTATAGTTCTGCGGCTAAGAGGATGCTTTGAGACTGTATGCTAGGTATATGCATGACACCTCACAGAAGTAATCTGTTTGAAGAGTCCCTCAACATGAGCTGTGTGATTTTACTATTCTTTATGAATAGTAAGGACTGGCTCTGTGTCCCACAGAAAGGGCAAAGTAGAGCTAGAATACAAACCCATCTTTTCTTTTCTTTTTTTCTTAAATTTTATTATTATACTTTAAGTTTTACGGTACATGTGCACAACGTGCAGGTTTGTTACATATGTATACATGTGCCATGTTGGTGTGCTGCACCCATTAACTCGTCATTTAGCATTAGGTATATCTCCTAATGCTATCCCTCCCCCCAGCCCCCACCCCACAACAGGCCCTGGTGTGTGATGTTCCCCTTCCTATGTCCATGTGTTCTCATTGTTCAATTCCCATCTATGAGTGAGAACATGCAGTGTGTGGTTTTTTGTCCTTGCGACAGTCTGCTAAGAATGATGGTTTCCAGTTTCATCCATGTCCCTATAAAGGACATGAACTTATCATTTTTTATGGCTGCATAGTATTCCATGGTGTATATTTGCCACCTTTTCTTAATCCAGTCTATCGTTGTTGGACATTTAGGTTGGTTCCAAGTCTTTGCTATTGTGAATAGTGCCGCAATAAACATACATGTGCATGTGTCTTTATAGCAGCATGATTTATAATCCTTTGGGTGTATACCCAGTAATGGGATGGCTGGGTCAAATGATATTTCTACTTTTAGATCCCTGAGGAATCGCCACACTGACTTCCACAATGGTTGAACTAGTTTACCGTCCCACCAACAGTGTAAAAGTGTTCCTATTTCTCCACATCCTCTCCAGCACCTGTTGTTTCCTGACATTTTAATGATTGCCATTCTAACCGGTGTGAGATGGTATCTCATTGTGGTTTTGATTTGCATTTCTCTGATGGCCAGTGATGATGAGCATTTTTTCATGTGTTTTTTGGCTGCATAAATGTCTTCTTTTGAGAAGTGTCTGTTCATATCCTTTGCCCGCTTGTTGATGGGGTTGTTTGTTTTTTTCCTGTAAATTTGTTTGAGTTCACTGTGCATTCTGGATATTAGCCCTTTGTCAGATGAGTAGGTTGCAAAAATTTTCTCCCATTCTGTAGGTTGCCTTTTCACTCTGATGGTAGTTTCTTTTGCTGTGCAGAAGCTCTTTAGTTTAATTAGATCCCATTTGTCAATTTTGGGTTTTGTTGCCATTGCTTTTGGTGTTTTAGACATGAAGTCCTTGCCCATGCCTATGTCCTGAATGGTATTGCCTACGTTTTCTTCTAGGGTTTTTATGGTTTTAGGTCTAACATTTAAGTCTGTAATCCATCTTGACTTAATTTTTGTATAAAGTGTAAGGAAGGGATCCAGTTTCAGCTTTCTACATATGGCTAGCCAGTTTTCCCAGCACCATTTATTAAATAGGGAATCCTTTCTCCATTGCTTGTTTTTGTCAGGTTTGTCAAAGATCAGATAGTTGTAGATATGTGGCATTATTTCTCAGGGCTCTGTTCTGTTCCATTGGTCTGTATCTCTGTTTTTGTACCAGTACCATGCTGTTTTGGTTACTGTAGCCTTGTAGTATACTTTGAAGTCAGGTAGGGTGATGCCTCCAGCTTTGTTCTTTTGCTTAGGATTGACTTGGTGATGCGGGCTCTTTTTTGGTTCCATATGAACTTTAAAGTAGTTTTTTCCAATTCTGTGAAGAAAGTCATTGGTAGCTTGATGGGGATGACATTGAAACTATAAATTACCTTGGGCAGTATGGCCATTTTCACGATATTGATTCTTCCTACCCATGAGCATGGAATGTTCTTCCATTTGTTTGTATCCTCTTTTATTTCATTGAACCGCGGTTTGTAGTTCTCCTTGAAGAGGTCCTTCACATCCCTTGTAAGTTGGATTCCTAGGTATTTTATTCTCTTTGAAGCAATTGTGAATGGGAGTTCACTCATGATTTGGCTCTCTGTTTGTCTGTTATTGGTGTATAAGAATGCTTGTGATTTCTGTACATTGATTTTGTATCCCGAGACTTTGCTGAAGTTGCTTATCAGCTTGAGGAGATTTTGGGCTGAGATGATGGGGTTTTCTAGATATACGATCATGTCATCTGCAAACAGGGACAATTTGACTTCCTCTTTCCCTAATTGAATACCCTTTATTTCCTTCTCCTGCCTGATTGCCCTGGCCAGAACTTCCAACACTATGTTGAATAGGAGTGGTGAGAGAGGGCACCCCTGTCTTGTGCCCATTTTCAAAGGGAATGCTTCCAGTTTTTGCCCATTCGACTTCGTATGATATTGGCTGTGGGTTTGTCATAGATAGGTCTTATTATTTTGAGATGCATCCCATCGATACTTACTTTATTGAGAGTTTTTAGCATGAAGGGTTGTTGAATGTTGTCAAAGGCCTTTTCTGCATCTATTGAGATAATCATGTGGTTTTTGTCTTTGGTTCTGTTTATATGCTGGATTACATTTATCGATTTGCGTATGTTGAACCAGCCTTGCATCCCAGGGATGAAGCCCACTTGATCATGGTGGATAAGCTTTTTGATGTGCTGCTGGATTTGGTTTGCCAGTATTTTATTGAGGATTTTTGCATCGATGTCCATCAAGGATATTGGTCTAAGATTCTCTTTTTTGGTTGTGTCTCTGCCAGGCTTTGGTATCAGGATGATGCTGTCCTCATAAAATGAGTTAGGGAGGATTCCCTCTTTTTCTATTGATTGGAATAGTTTCGGAAGGAATGGTACCAGCTCCTCTTTGTACCTCTGGTAGAATTCAGCTGTGAATCCATCTGGTCCTGGACTTTTTTTGGTGGGTAAGCTATTGATTATTGCCTCAATTTCAGAGCCTGTTATTGGTCTATTCAGAGATTCAACTTCTTCCTGGTTTAGTCTTGGGAGGATGTATGTGTCGAGGAATTTATCCATTTCTTCTAGCCTTTCTAGTTTATTTGCGTAGAGGTGTTTATAGTATTCTCTGATGGTAGTTTGTATTTCTGTGGGATCGGTGGTGATATCCCCTTTATCATTTTTTATTGCGTCTATTTGATTCTTCTCTCTTTTCTTCTTTATTAGTCTTGCTAGTGGTCTATCAATTTTGTTGATCTTTTCAAAAAACCAGCTCCTGGATTCATTAATTTTTTGAAGGGTTTTTTGTGTCTCTATTTCCTTCAGTTCTGCTCTGATCTTAATTATTTCTTGCCTTCTGCTAGCTTTTGAATATGTTTGCTCTTGCTTCTCTAGTTCTTTTAATTGTGATGTTAGGGTGTCAGTTTTGGATCTTTCCTGCTTTCTCTTGTGAGCATTTAGTGCATTTAGTGCTATAAATTTCCCTCTACACACTGCTTTGAATGTGACCCAGAGATTCTGGTATGTTGTGTCTTTGTTCTCATTGCTTTCAAAGAACATCTTTATTTCTGCCTTCATTTCATCATTTACCCAGTAGTCATTCAGGAGCAGGTTGTTCAGTTTCCATGTAGTTGAGCAGTTTTGAGTGCGTTTCTTAATCCTGAGTTCTAGTTTGATTGCACTGTGGTCGGAGAGACAGTTTGTTATAATTGCTGTTCTTTTACATTTGCTGAGGAGTGCTTTACTTCCAACTATGTGGTCAATTTTGGAGTAGGTGTGGTGCTGAAAAGAATGTATATTCTGTTGATTTGGGGTGGAGAGTTCTGTAGATGTCTATTAGGTCCGCTTGGTGCAGAGCTGAATTCAATTCCTGGGTATCCTTGTTAACTTTCTGTCTTGTTGATCTGTCTAATGTTGACAGTGGGGTGTTAAAGTCTCCCATTATTATTGTGTGGGAGTCTAAGTCTCTTTGTAGGTCACTAAGGACTTGCTTTATGAATCTGGGTGCTCCTGTATTGGGTGCATATATATTTAGGATAGTTAGCTCTTCTTGTTGAATTGATCACTTTACCATTATGCAAACCCATCTTTTCTTACCACTAGTTCTCTAAAACATGTAAGCATATGTCTGCTGTAGGACAGACTATACCAGTAAAACAACAACAACAAAAAACCTGTGTTTTCATCTGTTAATAAATTCAAGAACTCAAGGATACACTCATAAAACTGCATACTATTTTTTGTCATCTCATTATACCCAGGTTATTTTCCTGTATTCACATCTTCCCAAAATATCTGTCTTCTCTTTACCTTAGATCCTCTTGATAAGTTCTCAGGAAATAGAAATTGATTTCCTTAAACATTCATTATTTTATTTAACAAATATTTGTTTAGTGCCTGAAAGCACAAGCCACTGGGCCAAGATTGATTAAAGAAAAACACAATGAGGATCACAGTTCTCCTGCAACAAGAACATCAATAATAAATTGTAATATTCAACTTTCCTATTTGCCAAAGTGAGCAGACAATCTTACATCAGTCAACTGGTGACTCAAATTGTCTATTCCCAGAATAAACACTTTGTTTCATCCATGATAGGCCCTTGATGGAGCAGAACAGAATCGTATTTGACATTCACTGGATTTGGCAACTGCCATCACTGCTTAATCAGTTACTCATAAGCATTCTTCATCTGTCATTATTGTTTCTAAATTACAAACAAGTCAAGGATCAACAATTATCAAGTACTTTGGGATTTAATCAAAATAAACCCAATGGGGTACATCATTAATATCCCAATTCCACAATCTTCCCTTCCATTGTACTCCCGATAATAATTGTTCCAATCTAGCAGATAAGTACCTCTGAGTTATTTTTTCTTTCTTATTTATCAACAACCACAAGACCACATTTCCTTACAGATGAACCACACATCTTCAGTTTGTGATTGTATTCCCTTAGTGCACAAAGGAACTGAGCAAGAATTAGGAAATATAAGGTAAACATTCTGGCTAAAAGAATAATTACTATATTGATTTTCTGCTTAATGCCACAAAATGCCTTTGTTTCTAAAACTCCACCTCTCTTCCGTCAAATATGAACAAGAAAATGACCTTTGCATTATTTCAAACTAAATCATACATCATAATATGTCAATTGCTTTATAAAAGGTCAAAAAATATTTTCCAATATAGAGATTGCTAGTCCAGAAGGCAACATACATATATTTTTAATTATACTGTTTAAATATAAATATACACACATACAAGGTAATCTTTCATTCTGAAACATCCCTTGCCATGACTTTGAGAAAACTGGAAAACACTTAAATTCCTCAAAGACATTGCACAAGTCTTTCATTTTTTGCATACTTTCTAGAGCACATATTGTCAGCAAGGACTACCAGAAAGTTGTACCAAAATTGCTGGCTACATACATATGATGAAAGGAAAATTAAATAATCCATTATCTGTAGAATATAAGCTACTTAGTAGTTACAGTTCTTAACAAACTTGTACTTTAATATTAATGTACATAGCATAATATAATTATAGTAAATAAATTATATCTAGAATATAATACAATAATATATATGTACTATAAATATGTATAATATACTACATAAGGTATAGTATAATATAAATTCCAAAGTTTTTACCACTGATAAAATACCAACAAGTTGCCTAAATAAATTTGTTTATGTATACGTACACTTTCTTCATAAACAGTTTAAAAAACTGCTGAAGGTGTAGAACCAACCTAGTTAATTCTCAGACAAATCTACACAATGTCTATTTTTGAAACTACAGATTATAGAAAGAAGAGCAAAGGCATTATTACATCATGACCTTCTATGGAAATGAAAACATATCTTCAAGTTTTCATGTCAAAACCTCTTGTTATCTAAATTATCTTTCTCGGTATATAACTTCTTGGAGATAAAAAAAAAGTAAGTTATTTGGATTAAATATCAGGGTTTCTGAGGGAGATACAGGTATGTCAAAATATAGCAGAACTAATAAGATGTAATTCCAGTCACCAGGAATCGATATGCTGAAATGTATTTTAAATCACTGAATTACTCAAATCTACTGTATAGTTAAGATATGAGCACAGCAAGCCACAGAAACCAGCTCTGGCAGCTCCATGCAAAAGGGTGGTGCTGGACATTTCTCTAAGTGATCTTGAACGGACCCAGTTTTCTCCTTTTTCACATTTGTAGATGTCAAGAGTAACTATGGAATGTGCTGGGAATGCAATATCCTAAAATAGAGAAGAACTGGCCAGAACAATTTAGGCTCTGTTCCAGTCCCTACTAGAAAAAGGGTCTGCTTTTGCATGTTAGCCCAGGATGGCATGTTGCCCTCTGTTATAAAACCTGGGCTGGGATGGTTTCTGGGGTTCCTCAGCTCTGGTGCAAGTGAGACATACACTGAGGAAATACCATCCACCATGGCAGACTCCCTTGGCCTTGGAAGACTGGCTGGCTCTGAATCCTAGGCCTCTGTTGTTCCTTGCTGCCAATCTGTTTGTAATAAGTCCAATCAGCTTCATTAACTTGTTATGTGTGGGTGTGTTCTGTCTCACTAGACTTAGAGAAGTTAGTACCTAGTGCACAGTGACCTTGCTTCACAAAGATGGTGCAGTGAGCAGTGTCCTCCTTGATAGAATCATGGCTTCCTGGTGAAGCTGAAAAGACAATAACCCCCAGGACCTGACCCAAGAAAAAATGTCAGCCTAGGGATGTAGGGACCAGACATGCAGCTGGATGAGTTATGGGAAAGGAAGCTCAATAAATGGGACGTAGGTCACTCCCAATGGATGTGAACGAATTGGCTGCATGGATTGAGGCAAAGAAAAAGGAATATGGAAACGGGGAAGCACAGAATACAGTTCTCTGGTTGTCAGACATGTATGTGATCACTCATTCCTGGGACCAGAGGGCTCAAAAAGTAAATGCTCATAAGGACCCTGAGGCATTTGAGAGGGAACCAACATGTGCAATTTGAGCCTTCACAGAAACGGAGACTTGTGATCTAAAGGACAAATATGAGGAAAAGCCAGGCAAGTCTTAGGCAGCTTGGTTGGTGTGTTTGTTTGACAAAGGGACATTGCAGGCCCAAATGTCTCAAATTTAATGGTGTAATTAGTGATAGGGCCAAATAGTGCAGTTAGAAATAGGGTCCCCACTGGAGGCCAGTGGCCTTTACTCCTGTCAGGATTAAAGGGAAAAGAGAAAAACATTAAGCTGATGACATTAGGAGGTTTTGAGACAAATGAGGTCACCCATGTTGCTTATGTGCTTATGGGTCAGGCCTTTTGGGGCATTTCAGGTACCGATGAGCATGGTTCCCCCACTCAGTGCATTATAGACATTGACATTTTGACGATTTGTGGTGCAGAATATCACTGCCACCTGCAGAGGTATGACCCCTCTTAGCTAAAAATTCATGCCATAACAGTGGGGCATATCTACTCCTGCCTGCCACCTAAACTACCCAAGTCCAAATGAGTTATTCAGCTAAAGTGGTATTCCATACTAAGTAGAGAGTAGCACATTACCTGGTTAACTGAGGAATTGCTATAAACAAAAATATTACAAACCACCATGTCACAAAGTAACACTACAGTTGGGCTGCTCAAAAAGACCTCTAGAACATTAAGACTATTACAGGATGAATGCCAGGGCCAGTTAGATGGGAAGCCAAATGAATATTCAGATACAGTTAAGAAAATACTATTGGCTTTGGTGGCACCAGCTAAGTAAAATGGAGGCCAGCAGCCAAGAGGCCTCTGGGTACTGAAGATGGTGTACCCCACCTTAGTGTTCTTTTGGTCATCATAATCAAAGTGGCCAACAAAGCCATCAACTTTGAAAGGCTTTGAAATAGCAGGACTGAGAAACCATTCAAAAAGTTGTGGCCCAGGCACTGCCTTTGCAACTTTCAGAGCCTGCTAGCCCATTGGAATTACAGAAGTCTGCAACTTGTGTGCATACTGATTGTCATCTGGGGCAACAGAAAACTGCCATTGGGCTGCCGTAGCACTTTATAAGTTTCCTGATATAGCCAACAGATATACTCCCTTTTTGAATGGCAGCTCCTTGCTCACTATTGGGCATTGATAAAAAGAGAATGTTTTATGGCCAGAATGCCACATGTGATTGCTGCAATAGGAACTGCCTATTTTTATGTGTTTGCCTACAAACCTCACCAGTAAAATTGGACAGGCTTGGCAGAGCCTACTTATCAAATGGAAAGCATACATTTAAGGTTGGCTTGAGCTAGAATTCCGGGGAAGCAGTGGGCTCCATGAATAAATGGCTAGCTTTCTAGAATGCTAGAAAGTGACCCTCAGGAGATGCTTTGGCTCCTCCTTTGCCTACTGATGGTATGGCATGATTCACTGATGCCCCTACAAAACTAAAAGCAGACAGGGTCCACAGGACTGCAGCCCCCATCTGGTGAGTGAATGGCCATATTTTTACTGAGGCTGAACATGAACATTCTGCCCCAAGGGTCAAACTACATGCACCACTGATGGCCACGCAGGCCACCACTTACCAGCCTATCTTGCTACATTTTCACCAATGTATGGGCCTTTATCTACAACCTAGCCATGTGGTCAAGAGAACAGCAACTGAGTGATTGGACTATCAATGGATCCCCTATATGGGGACAAGGGCTATGACAATAACTTGCTGCCTGGAAAGGACAAATGTGTATCACTCATATGAATGCGAGGCCTACCATCTCCTCCCTGGAAGAGAGCTTGTGATCCGACTTGCAAAGCAACTGAAGAAAGAGCATCAAGATGTCCTGCTAGTGGGGTGGTTCCCCATCTGACTAGAGTAGTATGGACACTAAACTCTGCACTATGATGTGAGGGAAACATGGCACTGCAGCACCCATTGAGAAACAATGGCCTTAGTCGGGGTAGAGGTAACCAGCCAGATGCTTGATTAGGCTACATCTGCAAATCCCAATCTCAGTGTTCCCAACCATTTCTTTCTTTTTTTCCTTTAGAGTACATGTCCTGGGGGGCAGTTTGCAGTTCAGGCCACCGTAATACCCCAGACAGGACCCCTAAGTCTTATCTGAAAACAATGCCTCCCTTGGGTCACTGCTCTCTATGGGATCCCACAGGGTTATTGGATGGAACCAAGGAATACCAGAGTGCCAGGACTCTCTAGGGACACTGGGGAAATCTAAAACCTTCAGTCAAGTGGGCAGCATTACCAAACGTGATGTTTGTACAGGATGTGACTTCCCTTCCTGAACTGGAGAGCTGTTTTAATGTTCTGGCTCAAGCAAGAAGGACAATTAGTACCTGCAGTTGTCATCACCTGGGGACTGGGACAGACAAAATTGGATAATATGTCTACCCAGCCCAAACCCTATCCATTAAGTAGAAACACCTAAAACCCCAAGAGGGGTGAAATGTAGGGCACTCATCTGTAAATCTGTTTTATTTTACAAGGATGTGGCAGCAGAGGCCTGGAAGCACAACACTTTCATTAGGCTCTCCCAGGCAGCAGCCACCTTGGGTAGCCTGACTAAGGGTTAGACCTTACTCTGTTACAGACAACAGCAACTTCTCATCCTGTCAGTGGTAAACTACACACACATTCCTAATGCCACAGCGCACGCTTCAATGTGGATTTGGCATCCACCACATGGAAGAGAATCAGAGGTGCTCTGTTTTAACTTAACTGACTCAATGCCAAAATGTCACAGCTATAACTGAGAAAACTTTGGTAGGCTTGCACTTTGACACTTTATGCTCATTTGATCACCTGAACAAGAAGTGTCCCAGTGGTGAAAATGAAAACAAGGACTGAACTGTTGTTAGCCCTCTGTGTAGGGGCTTAATGGACAATATTTTAAGAAAACCAAGTTCATGTAACTAACTCAAGACTTGGCTGGCGAATTCCAATGCCTTCGTACCCATGAATGTGTCACTGAACAATAAAGTGAGAGAAGGGTTGCTCTGTACACCTGAAAGTTACATCTTTCTCTGCAGGTGGTTCAGTGGTTCATTGGTGACTCAAATATAGGATGAGCAATGTCATGCCTGATGGATGGTGGGATCCTGCATGCTGGAAGTGCTCCTGGATATCACCCCTGGAAATGAGATGCACCACTGGCCTGGCAGGCTTACTAACTGGCTCTGGGTTCATGCCCTTTGTGAGCTCTTTGATACCAGATACAGGAGTCCGTGCTCATGAAAAAATTATACAAAACCTATTTCTGACCATAGTAAATATTGCTTCTTCCACAGCCACTGCCTTGCCAGCCTAACAGACATCCCCAACTTCCTTGGGAAGATTGTTTTAGGCAACAGAATGGATCTAGATCTATTTAGCCCAACTTGGAAGAGTATATGAAATTGCCAACACCTTCTGCTGTACCTAGATAAATTTCAGTTATTGTAGAAGCACAAGTAGAGGAGGTACAGAGGCAGGTACACTGGCTGCAGACAGTGGGACCACTGGAAGGATCTTTTTTTGACAACTTTAGTAACCTCTTACCTGGATCACTGGGATCCTGTGTTAGGTCACTGCTCTGGGCAGGCCTGAGCACCTTGCTTATGGATAGTCAAATGTACTCCTGGGCCTAGTGAAATGTATACTGCCGATGGCTCAATGATGTTGCAAAGAGATTATGTCAGTGCAGGTGTTACATCAATCTGACAAGACCAATCTTCAACTCCAAATCTGGGGAAGTCATTGGGCATAGGAAATGGAAGAACTTTGCTAAGGGGGGCCATCTGGATCAGTGGTAAACTGCAGAACAGTTCTCTGGGTGACCTTGGACTCACCCAGTTTCTCACCCTTTCCTGTTTGTAGTTCTTAAGTACAACTGTAGAATGTTCTGAGGATGTAACATCTTAATGAGAGGTGAGGCCAGCTGGACTTCCTGGGTCAAGTGGGGACTTGGAGAACTTTTCTGTCTAGCTAGAAGACTGTAAATGCACCAATCAGTGCTCTGTACCTAGCTAAAGGATTGTAAATGCACCAATCAGCACTCTATAAAAACGCACCAATCAGCGCTCTGTGTCTCGCTATAGGATTGTAAATGCACCAATCAGCACTCTGTAAAAATGCACCAATCAGTGCTCTATGTCTAGCTAAACGACTGTAAACACACCAATCAGCACTCTGTAAAATAGACCAATCAGCGCTCTGTAAAATGGACCAATCAGCAGGACATGGGCAGGGACAAATAAGGAAATAACAGCTGGCCACACCAGCCAGCAGCAGCAACCCGCTTAAGTCCCCTTTCCTGCTTTGAAAGGTTTGTTCTTTCCCTCTTCACAATAAATCTTGCTGCTGCTCACTCTTTGGGTCTGCACCAACTTTAAGAGCTGTTAACAGTCACCACGAGGGTCTGCAGTTTCATTCCTGAAGTCAGCGAGATCACGAACCCACTGGGAGGAACAAATAACTCTGGACGCACCACCTTTAAGAGCTGTAACACTCACCGTGAGGTCCACAGCTTCATTCTTGAAGTCAGGGAGACCAAGATTCCACCAGAAGGATTAAATTCTGGACACACTAAGATAGGGAGGAACTTACTAGAACAGCCAGGGCTCTGTTCCAGTTCCTCCTAGGAACAAGTTGCTCTTCAATGTTTTAGTCCAGTGGGTCATGTTTTCCTTCCCCTCGTATAAAACCTAGGGTGGGATGATTTCCAGGGTCCTGTAGCTGCAGTGCAAGTGCAGTACATTCAAACAAGACTCCATCCAACCTGGGCAGCTTTCCTGAGCCTTGGGGGACTGGCATGCCCTGAATCCTAGGCTTTTATTGTCACTTGTTGCCTCTCAGTTAGATAATAAATCTGCCTCATGTAACTTGTTTTGTGTGTGGGTGTTCTGTCTCACCAAATCAGACAAGTTAGTAACCAGTACACAGTGGACCTGCTTCACAGATGGATATCTATTTGAGCAATACTATGAATTCACAGAGCTAGTGGGAGTTTGGAGATGCAGGCTTAGAAAACAAAGATGTAAGTTAGGTCAAACAGCTTTGGAACAGAAAACACAGTCTGTTTCTTCCTAAGAGGAAAAGTTTGGGCATCATTGCTGTAGTTGATGTAGTGAATGACTCCTAAAAGTATCCTACCACATCTTTGCATCCTTTGATCAAGATTAAAAATTGCAAACAGGACTATCTAATTAACTAAACTAATTCACATTTTTGAGCCCTGGCTCTGTCAAATTGAAGTAAGAGAGGATCTGATCCTTTTAGCTTCCAGACTAGAATGTGGAGTACAATCTCTCACTAAAACTATATGAAATGCAGAATTGCTCCTCTATAGGAGGAAGGGAGTGAATACTATACAAAATTTTAAGCAAATATTTATTCTACCTAGCCATTACAGTAAAAAAAATTTCTCCACTCTACATGTATATCATTTTATACTAATCTTCGGAAGTCATGTTACTTTTTAAATTTAATTTGCTGTAATTTTTAAATGGCTAAAATACAAATCCCACAAGAAGACAAATTTGTCTGTCTTGTTCAATGTTTTATTTCTATCACCTAGACCGGATATTGGTAATATGCACACAGATAATCAAAAAACATTTGTTGAATAGATCGAATGACAAAAGAACACTAATATGTAAAAAATACTCCTCCAATTTATTTGCCCCATCCAATCCCTATGAATTACTTCTGCCACAACCTTGTGTCCTGTTTGCAACCTCAAATAATCATTATCACATAGAAGCCTTGACTAAAGGGAAGATGGAGAGCTTTCAGTCTATGTTTTACATATTTAGCAGTTTTATCCCTACATATCCTTGTAGAAAGTGAATCTTTGACCTACTTTAATAGGCAGAGTGCAGTGTTCTGGAGTTAATAATGAACTTGTGGTGATGATAAATCAAGTGTGAAACAGCTATTTCCCACTGGTCCCTTTGAAAGTGTTTCAAGCTTCTAAAAGACATTTTGTAAACACCAGTGGAATATGAATGAAAAATGTAAACTGGACTTATTGAAGAGCTTTTGTACTGAAAAGTTTCTAATGTAATTCAGAAGAAGGAGTTAAAGAAAACAATAAAGTTTTGAAAAGATTGATGATAAGTATTATGACAAAATGTCTGAAAAGGTATTCAATGTAGTTTATTCATTTATGCCCATGAGTGGGTGTGGGAGAGATAATTAGATGTCAAGATTTATGGTCAATAATTCTGGATGATACTTTTTGTCTGAAATCTTTTTGTTCTCTAAAACCCAGTCAGTTCCAGGTTCATATATGTAGGAAGGTTTCCCTGAACTTTCAAGATTATACTCTACTTTATTTTACAATGTAGCACTTTTTTTTACATTTGGCTTCTTTATCTATATTTCCCTACTCAAACATTATTCTTCCAAGTGTAAAACTACATCTTACTGGTCCTTGTACCCCAAGCATTGAGTTCAACAATATGCAGCACATAGAGCTCAATGCAGTTTCCCTGAAACATTAAGTAGTCTAGGGTGAATCCAGTCATTTAATTTTGCTGAAAATGAATAATAAATCCAATGTATGGGTTATATTAAGAAGAATGGCATGTTAAAATAACAAAAAAATTTCAATTTGTAAATTCAGAATCAAACCATGTTTTATTTGGTAAGTAATATATATTCTCAACATTTTTTAAAATAAGCAATATACAATATTTTCTGAATATGAGAAGAAAGTTTAGAGGTAATAATGTAGTTATTACCCCTCCTCTCTTAAAGAGTTAATAGAAAAGGAGAGCCAATATATGTAGTCAGGCAACAAGAAAAAATGGAAGGTAGGGAGAGAATCAAAAGTACTGAAAAGATAAAATTTTACAGCTTTGCCAGTCTGACAGATGACTCAGGAAAAAAAAAAAAGGAATAAAGACTGAAAATCCCAGTGACACCTTGTTTATGCCAATGGCTGTTTTAGGCCTATTTTAATAGAGCTTTCAGAATTCCCCAGACAACAAACTCTGTTCCTCTCAAGGTTCCTGTGTTTTTCAGAGGCCTTTGGGCATCCAGTAATTTCTTTAAAGAGTTTGGTCATCAGCAACTCCCAAACATCATAAGGAAAAAGCATCATGGAGAGCTTTCTATCTGCGTTTTACCTATTTAGCAGTTTTATCTCTACATAGCCTCAAAAGTGAATATTTGACCTACTTTCTCTGATAGGCAGGGTGCAGTCTTCTGGGGTTAAAAATGAACCTTTTCTAACAGTAAGAACTGAACGAATTAATAAGTCAAATTGTTATTATTTATACCTATATGCCATATATGTATATATAATATATACATATATAATATAAAAATCCAATTATATTTATATATATACATACATGGCATATATGTATATATAAAAATATATATTTAATTTCATATATACATATATGCCATGTATGTATATATAAAAATAATTGGATTTATTATTCATTTATTCCACTGCATATGTTGACTCTCCTGTTCTATTAACTCTTTAAGAGAGGAGGGCTAATAACTACGTTATTATCTCTAAACTTTCTTCTCATATTCAGAAAATGAAATATATACAGCCTTTACCAACTGAAAGGACTAGAAAAACGTATCTTTCATCTTCATGAATATTAGCATTAGCCACATTAGGACCCTTTTGCAGCTGAGGAAGAAGAGAAGAGTATTTTGCTAGATGCCATAAAAGAAACATTATTTTTAAGTTCTCACTTCTTTTTGAGGGACACTTGCTTGAAAATTAAGGCAATCGATCTTTTTTTCTCAAAAACTCAATGGGAAAGTAAAGCTTGTATAGGGAAAAAAAAAATTGGCTTGGTCCTTATAAACATTCAGTGTGCCACAAACATTCATCATAATGTTAAACCATTGAATTACTCTTTAAATAATATATAACATTGATGATGATGATGATGATGATAATGATGATGATGATTAAACATGATCTCACTCAGTTGTCCAGACTGGAGTGCAGTGTCACTATCTTGGCCCACTGTAACCTCTGCCTACCAAGCTCAAGTGATCCTCCCACTTCAGCCTCCTGAGTAGCTGGGACTACAGGTGTGTGCCACCATACCTGGCTAATTTTTGTATTTTTTATTTTCGCCATATTGCCCAGGCTGGTCTTGAACTCCTGGGCTCCAGGCTCCCAAAGTGCTAGGATTACAGACATGAGCCACCACGCCCAGCCTTATTATTTTTAATAGAGAAAATAAATGTAAAGAAGACAAAAACATAATTTAAAAAGCTTATTTTATACAACTTTTAGATATAATCTTTGCTAAATGCTTAGAAAAATATTTTTCTTTTTTTATTATACTTTAAGTTTTAGGGTACATGTGCACAACGTGCAGGTTTGTTACATATGTATACGTGTGCCATGTTGGTGTGCTGCGCCCATTAACTCGTCCTTTAACATTAGGTATATCTCCTAATACTATCCCTCCCCCCTCCCCCCTCCCCCCAACCCACAACAGGCCCCGGTGTGTGATGTTCCCCTTCCTGTGTCCAAGTGTTCTCATTGTTCAATTCCCACCTATGAGTGAGAACATGTGGTGTTTGGTTTTTTGTCCTTGTGATAGTTTGCTGAGAATGATGGTTTCCAGCTTCATCCATGTCCCTACAAAGGACATGAACTCATCGTTTTTTATGGCGGCATAGTATTCCATGGTGTATATGTGCCACATTTTTTTAATCCAGTCTATCATTGTTGGACATTTGGGTTGGTTCCAAGTCTTTGCTATTGTGAATAGTGCCGCTATAAACATACGTGTGCATGTGTCTTTATAGCAGCATGATTTATATTAGTTTGGGTATATACCCAGTAATGGGATGGCTGGGTCAAATGGTATTTCTAGTTCTAGATCCCTGAGGAATCGCCACACTGACTTCCACAATGGTTGAACTAGTTCATGGTTCCATCAACAGTGTAAAAGTGTTCCTATTTCCCCACATCCTCTCCAGCACCTGTTGTTTCCTGACTTTTTTAATGATTGCCATTCTAACTGGTGTGAGATGGTATCTCATTGTGGTTTTGATTTGCATTTCTCTGATGGCCAGTGATGATGAGCATTTTTTCATGTGTCTTTTGGCTGTATAAATGTCTTCTTTTGAGAAGTGTGTGTTCATATCCTTTGCCCACTTGTTGATGGGGTTGTTTGTTTTTTTCTTGTAAATTTGTTTGAGTTCATTGTAGATTCTGGACATTAGCCCTTTGTCAGATGAGTAGATTGCAAAAATTTTCTCCCATTCTGTAGGTTGCCTGTTCACTCTGATGGTAGTTTCTTTTGCTGTGCAGAAGCTCTTTAGTTTAATCAGATCCCTTTTGTCAATTTTGGCTTTTGTTGCCATTGCTTTGGAACAATACAGAGAAGATTAGCATGGCCCCTGCGCAAGGATGACATGCAAATTTGTGAAGAGTTCCATATTTTTAACAGGCTCTGAAATTGAGGCAATAATTAATAGCTTACCAACCAAAAAGTCAGGACCCGATGGATTCACAGCCAAATTCTACCAGAGGTCCAAGGAGCAGCTGGTACCATTCCTTCTGAAACCATTCCAATCAATAGAAAAAGAGGGAATCCTCCCTAACTCATTATATGAGGCCAGCATCATCCTGATACCAAAGCCTGGCAGGGACACAACAAAAAAAGAGAATTTGAGAACCATATCCCTGATGAACATCGATGCAAAAATCCTCAATAAAATACTGGCAGACTGAATCCAGCAACACATCAAAAAGCTTATCCACCATGATCAAGTGGGCTTCATCCCTGGGATGCAAGGCTGGATCAACATAAGCAAATCAATAAATGTAATCCAGCATATAAACAGAACCAATGACAAAAACCAGATGATTATCTCAATAGATGCAGAAAAGGCCTTTGACAATATTCAACAACTCTTCATGCTAAAAACTCTCAATAAATTAGGTACTGATGGGACGTATCTCAAAATAATAAGAGCTATCTATGACAAACCCACAGCCAATATCATACTGAATGGGCAAAAACTGGAAGCATTCCCTTTGAAAACTGGCACAAGACAGGGATGCCCTCTCTCACCACTCCTATTCAACATAGTGTTGGAAGTTCTGGCCAGGGCAATCGGGCAGGAGAAGGAAATAAAGGGTATTCAATTAGGAAAAGAGGAAGTCAAATTGTCCCTGTTTGCAGATGACATGATTGTATATCTAGAAAACCCCATCATCTCAGCCCAAAATCTCCTTAAGCTGATAAGCAAATTCAGCAAAGTCTCAGGATACAAAATCAATGTGCAAAAATCACAAGCATTCTTATACACCAATAACAGACAAACAGAGAGCCAAATCATGAGTGAACTCCCATTCACAATTGCTTCAAAGAGAATAAAATACCTAGGAATCCAACTTACAAGGGATGTGAAGGACCTCTTCAAGGAGAACTACAAACCACTGCTCAATGAAATAAAAGAGGATACAAACAAATGGAAGAACAATCCATGCTCATGGGTAGGAAGAATCAATATCGTGAAAATGGCCATACTGCCCAAGGTAATTTATAGATTCAATGCCATCCCCATCAAGCTACCAATGACTTTCTTCACAGAATTGGAAAAAACTACTTTAAAGTTCATACAGAACCAAAAAAGAGCCCGCATCACCAAGTCAATCCTAAGCAAAAGAACAAAGCTGGAGGCATCAGGCTACCTGACTTCAAACTGTACTACAAGGCTACAGTAACCAAAACAGCATGGTACTGGTACAAAAACAGAGATATACACCAATGGAACAGAACAGAGCCCTCAGAAATAATGCCGCATATCTACAACTATCTGATCTTTGACAAACCTGACAAAAACAAGCAATGGGGAAAGGATTCCCTTTATAATAAATGGTGCTGGGAAAACTGGCTAGCCATATGTAGAAAGCTGAAACTGGATCCCTTCCTTACACCTTATACAAAAATTAATTCAAGATGGATTAAAGACTTAAATGTTAGACCTAAAACCATAAAAACCCTAGAAGAAAACCTAGGCAATACCATTCAGGACATAGGCATGGGCAAGGACCTCATGTCTAAAACACCACTAAAATATTTTTCAATAGCAAAATATTTCCTGAATGTTGTTTTCCTTGGTATATGTCAAATTAAAGAGAAATATATAGTTGAAAATAAATGGAATGTTTTCTTTAATCCCCTGCCCCATAGGCCCTAGTCCTTGTAGTGAGGACAACAAAGTGTAGCATTCCCTAGCACTCTGTGATGGATATGAGGCATGAGAAAGAACTAGACTATTGTTTCAATGTACTGAGATTTTGAGGTTGTTGATTTCCAATTATAATCTGGCCTATTTTGATAGATATGGAAGTCAGATTAATTATTCTTTATTTATTTTATTATTTAAAAAATTTTTTTGAGGCAGGGTCTCACTCTGTCATCCAGGCTAGAGAGCACTGGCCCAATCATAGCTCACTGTAGTCTCCAACTCCTGGGCTCAAGTGATCCTCCTACCTCAACCTCTTGAGTATCTGGGACTACCAGTGTGCCCACCACATCCAGCTAATTTAAAATGTGGATATTGGATCTCACTATGTTGTCCTGGTCGGTCTTAATCTCCTGGCCTCAAGCCATCTTCCCACCTTAGCCTCCCAAAGTGCTGTGATTTCAGGCATGAGCCACCGCATCCAGCCTTATTCTTTATTTTACAGTATTCATATTTATATTTTATTATTTTATGTTTCCTCTTTCTCTTCTTTAACTTAAAATATCTATGTATGTTAGTTTATATTAATCTACTTTATTCTTTTTAATGGATGTATAATATTTTATTGAATTAATGTAACATGATTGATATGTCAAATTGGTGGAAAGAATATTAAATGTAGCAGAGGATAACTTTATATAAATCAAAGCTTCCATAAACAACAAAAGTGTTTGAATATAGTAGAAATAATGAATATGGTGGATTTAGAAACAAGCCTAGGATAAAAATAAGATTAAAGAGGAACAGGTAAAATATGTAAGATGTTTGCTGCAAAAAGTAAACTGTTAAGAAAGAGACTCACAGAAGCATGAGAAGAGCTGCTAACCGCTGTATAAACATCATGAGGTAAGCTGGTTTTTGATATTTGTGTTTATTGTAGGAAAGAGAATAGCACCTGACACATTCACCTATTTGGGGTTTAATACATACTTGTGAAGTAATGCTAATAAAAATAAAAATCACTCCTAACACTTATTAGAAATTTTTATTTGTTCAACTCCATGTTCTGTGCAAAGTGCTTAAAGTAATCCCTGGAAAGGCCTCTTCAGTAAGTTTTCATTTGCTATATTCATTTAGTGAACTATTTCTAGATTCCCCTTTTTTTCACAACCACTTGTAATCCATCAGTAAGTTCTGTGTTCACTACTTTCAAGATATATCTGAAATCTGACCACTTTTCATCACTGTCACAGCTCCCTTCTAGTCCAAACCATCTTCTTTTTTAGACAAGCCTAATATAATAACCTTCTAACTAATTTCCTTGCTCCCACATTTGCCTCCCTGCAGTTACTTTTCATCTAGCAACAAAATAATGTTTTCATCATGTAAATCTAATCATGTCATTCCTCTTACTCAAAGCCCTCCAAGAAGACAGTAATCTAAAGCCCTCATCATGGTTTACAAGAACATCTATTTCCCCAATGCTGTCTCCTGCTATTCTTCACCCAGCTCACTGGGCTCCAGGCACACTGGCTTCTTTATTTTCAATCAAATGCCCAAGTTCATTCCTCCTTAAAACTCCTTCACCCTCTGTCTATCCTATACCTTGAAAGATCCTCTCCCAGAAGTTCATACAGCAATTTCCTCACTTCATCAAATCCTCAGGCAAAGGCCATTTCCTAAGAGCAACTTTCTCTGACTTCCCTGTCCAAAATACCCTTACCATATAACCACTTACAATGCTGTAGTTTGCTTCCTATAATTAATCATTACTATATATTAGTAATACTTTTACTTTTTTGTTTACTGTTCATCTGACCTATTGTAATGTACATTTCATGAATATAGGAACTTCATCTGCTCTGTTCTGTATCTCGAGCACCTAACAGAACTATTTGATACCTGGGGGCTTCAACAAGTATTCATGAAATAAATATCAAAAAAGAACGCTTTGTTTAAGGGTGTCAGTTTTTGTTTTTAAGCTTGAGCTATTATGAATTACCTTTTTTGTTAAGTGCTCTGTGTTCTAAATTGTCAGGGTTTAACAGAAACCCAGTTAAAGGCTGGGGAGTTTTGTATATTATATAATCTGGATTTGTTAAGATTTTTGTTGGGATTAATAGTATTGATGCAACTGCTTAAGTCGTAAAAGCTCAACTTAGCTTATGTTGGCAATTGAGGGTGGTCATAAGTAAGATGTTTTCTCTCCTGAGTGTATCAACCCTTTACAAACCAAGAAGCAGAGTCCAGGACAAGGGACCCCATTGAATAGCTTGCCTATTCCATCAGCTTTAGAGATACATCAATTCTGTCACTCTCTGCTTTGCACACTTTCCAATTAACCGGTTATTTCTAGAGAAAGGGTAACTTCTATGCAATTTGAAATTTCAGTTCAAAAATACCAGAAAGGGTTTTACCACATGATCCTATTTAATTATTGCAATCACTTAACAGGTTAAGTTTTTTTTTCGATAATTGAATTTGACTAATTTAATTACAATCCATATGACAATACATGTTTGCATTGTATAAGTTAAGACACTGACTCCTCTCTCTAGCTCCAGAGTTTGTTCTCCCACACAGTCACTGCATTCAAATGCTAGGTCAAATACTTCCTAGCTATGTGACCTTAAATGGGTTGCTTAACCTTTTAAGGTATTATCTTTATTTAACATAAAATAGAAATAATAATAGTATTCATGTGATAGAGTTATGGTATGATTGAACAAATGAATGCTCCTGTAAGCTACCTATCCAATCAACAAGAGTAGCAGGGATTCTTAGTGGGAGGTAAACATCAGAATTGTCTGAAGACAACTGTCATAGCCCCAGCTGAGCATTTTTGCACTAAATTCTAGAATATAATATAGAGCAGTTGTTTCTTTGCAATCATTTGAAAGGAGCTTAAATTACTAAAATAGCAGTAGCCTCTCATTATTATTAGAATCCTCTCATAACTATTCACCATGCTTCCTTTGCAATTTGCCTTTACTGGATTAAATATTTATTGATTTGGCCAGGCATGGTGGCTCACGCCTGTAATCCCAGCAGTTTGGGAGGCCGAGGCAGGTGGATCATCTGAGGTCAGGAGCTCAAGACAAGCCTGGCCAACATGGTGAAATCCCATCTCAACTAAAAATACAAAATTAGCTGTGCATGACGGTGCATGCCAGTAATCCCAGCTACTCGGGAGACTGAGGCAGGAGAATCACTTGAACCCGGAAGGCAGAGGCTGTGGTGAGCTGAGATCATGCCATTGCACTCCAGCCTGGGCAACAATTCCGTCTCAGAAACAAAAAAAAATGTATTGATTTAAAGAATATGTTTACGGTATAACTCTGAAGTTATATTTTACAGATGAATGCTCAGTGGTTAGTATCACTAATGCTAGAATCACAGTAAACTAAATTCAAATCTCAACTCACACTCTTCATAGTTGTATGACCTTGAATAAGGTAATAGTAAGGTTTAGCTAATATATTATATTATATTATATTATATTATATTGTATTGTATTGTATTATATTATATTATATTATATTATATTATATTATATTATATTATATTATATATTATAGCTAGATTATCAAGCTAGCTGACTTTCCAGTTATATATGACTAGGGGCACAAACCCTCTGGACTGATTAACCTCAGAATAACAGTAACTGTGGAGGTTAATATCTGCTGAGCACATGATATAGGTCTCGCATTCTGCTAAGCACTCTGCCTGGATTACATCATCTAATCAACACAGGTGACCTATAACATTGGTATTACTATTTATATCTCTTTTTACAGATAATAAAAATAAAGTAAAATATTTTGTTTATGTTCTGTAAGTTAGCAAGTGATCAAGCTCTTAATTAAATCTATATCACTCTGACATCACCGCTGTTGTCAATCCAGTGTTGAGTGCTTTCCAGTGTTTTTAAGTAGCCTATACTTTTCTAAATGAGATCTCTTGAAAAACCCAATAAATAAAGCAGAGAAAAGTAGAACTTCCATAGCTTAAGAAAAAATGAGGGGGCCATAAATCCAACTCTCTTTGACTCATTGCCTCCTTGAGGTGGACCCTCCGTGAACCAAGAGTATTCTGAGGTACATATTGAAAATTATTTATCTAAGGCAACCCTTAACTCTCTAGAGTAGTCCTCATCTCTAGCACATAGTGTGATTTATATTTAACCGTTTATTTATTATAATTTTTTTTTGAGACAGAGTCTCACTCGGTCTCCCAGGCTGGAGTAACGTGGTACACACTCAGCTCACAGCAACCTCTGCCTCCCTGGTTCAAGCGATTCTCCTGCCTCAGCCTCCCAAGTAGCTGGGATTACAGGTGCCCGCCATCACACACAGGTACTTTTTGTATTTTCAGTGGAGACAGGGTTTCACAGTGTTGGCCAGGCTGGTCTCAAACTCCTGACCTGAAGTGATCCGCCCACCTCAGCCTCCCAAAGCTCTGGGGTTACCGGCGTGAGCCGCCACACCTGGCCATTTAATTAATTTTTAATTGTTATTAAATTATGGATTTTAATTAAATTGGTTAAATTCAATTATCGAAAGAAAATTTTATTAGATTAGAAATTTTAATTTAAAACTAATTTAATTTTTATTAAAATTACAAATAATAAAATATGTAGTTCCTCAGTCCCACTGTCTCTATTTTGAATGTCGAATGGAATCTATATCAGATAGCACAGATATAGAACATTTTCATCATAACAAAGTTTTATTGGACAGTGCTTATTTAGACTAGATCCCCACTAACACTTCCGTTACAATTAGAATAAAACCCATCCTCCTTACTGTAGCATTCCTGGGCTGATATGTTCTGGCCCTTGCCTACTTCTTTGACTTTACTTCATAGCAATCTCTGTTATTCACTATGTTTTAGACACAGTGGCTTTCCTATGTCCCTCTGATACACAAAACTTTGTTGAGACCTTTGCATTTGTTTATATCTGCCCATTACATCCTTTCCCTAGGTAATCCCACGTGGCTGCCTTCCTCTAATCTTTCAGATACTAGCTCAAATATTGTCTTCTCAAAGATCCCTTTTTCAATTAGTCCATCTAAATTAACCCTTCCATCTCATCCTTTTCAATTCCATTACCCTACTGTATTTTCTTACAACATTTGCCACATTTGGAGTTCTGTTGTCTGTGTTCTCATATGTTTAGTGGTTTTATTCTTTCATTCTTGTATGTAAACCCTAGGTATTCAGGGAACTTGAATGTCCTGTTTACAGGAGACTCTAAGCTCAATGACTAACTGTACTAGTTACTCAATAGCCATTAGTTGAATGAATACATGAAATAAATTTAGAAATTCAGAAATTAAGGCCCAAAGAGAGGTTAAGTCACTTGTCTAAGGTCACACAGGTAAACGGTGAACCTATGGACTTTGAATCCAAATAGGTTTTCACTCTGGCCCTGGGACTACCATAAATAATTATTACTCAGAGCGAAGGTCAGGAGGAAGATTATGCTCAGGAAATACTTCAACACCTAGTGAAAAAATGCTAGGATTCAGGCTACCCCAGGAAGAGTGATGGAATCATGGATACAGCTCACGATATTAAGTCAGATGCAACAGCAGCTGTTGACATCTCGGGGGAGCCGTGAAGTGGGCACTTGAACTTTGACTGCACTGAAATGATGTCACTTGCCAAAGACAGCCATCTAACCTCAAAGGCTAAAAAGTGCCCGGCACAGGATACCAGAGTGGTTCAATTAATAGCAAGAAATTTTCATAGAACAGAGAAAGAAAGACATCAGAGGCTAACCAGAAGACTAAGGTGGAGAGAGGCAACAGTAGATCAGAGAGTTACTGAGAACAAGTATTAAGGCGATCAGCCAGCAGCACTAATGGAGGGTCAGAAGGAATTGATGGTTAGTTACTAGCAGGCCCTGAGCACAGCTGGTAGCCGCAGGAAGAGCTGGCAGGGTGAGAGGTAGGAGCAGCTAATCAAACTGTCTAATGGGCTGATTAGACAAGCAGTGGGATCAACCACCAGGGGTAGGCGATTCAACTGCCAGAGGATCAGAGGGACAGGAAAGGCAAAGACAGAACAAGGTCAGTCAGGGGCCTGAGTAAAAGGGAAGATGATTGGGTGGCAGTCTGATCAGCCAGCTGTGACAGCTCATCAAACAATAAAGGGAGCCAACTGTAGTAGTAGCAAGGAGGGCCGAGGGGACGGAACAGTTTACAGAGCGGGATAATCTCGCAGTCAGAAAAGCTAATCAAAGCTGACAGGAGCTCCTCAGAGCTAGGGGCGGGACTAGTGAATTTGCAGCCAGTGCCTTTGGTCAAGGGTTTATTTTTTCACATCATAAGCAGAGCATGCAGCTCAGCTGCTTTCTCTGCTGTCCCAAGGCTCAGGGGACTGAGATTTGAAGACTCGTTGACAAAGTAGGGCAGAGATGCCAAGTCCCAGCTCCTATAAATATGGCAGCCTAGACCAGGAGCTGAGACCTGATTGAAAGCCTGGCCAGCCTGATTTACCCAGGCAAATACATATGCAAGCATTCCTCTTTTTGTTCTTTCCTTTTTCTTGTTTTCCCTTCTTTTTTCATCTTTTCTTTTTTTTTATTTTAATCATAACACCTGCACTCTTAGAAAAATTGCATCAAGGATTCTGAATGTAAAAGTTTAGGTCAAAATATGACATATCTTAAATATATCAGAAATATCTGCCCTTTGTTTTTTAAACTTCAGATACAGACTCAACACACTTAACCCTTTTGTCCTTTTTTTCTCCCCACCAAGCCACTACATATTTTCTTTTTTGTTATAACACACAAAGACACACATTTAAATACTTTAAAATTGCACTCTTGTGAATTGATTATATAATGGATTTTCTTAAAGCAGAAAATAAATGTCCAACTTGAAAAACAACAATTTTCCCTATCTTCTTTCTGTTGTTGCTAATAGGAGTCCATCACCATCAAACCCATCTTTCATGTTTAGAAGAATAATTGTTGTCCTATAACCTATATTTCCCTTGTCTATGATGACTTGGGAATTTAGAGGCACATAATAACAACAAGAATAACTACCTTCTTTGAGTGCTTACTTGGAAATACTCTATCCTATAAGAACCTATTGATACTTCCACTTTACTGGGAAATGAGGCCCATAGAAGTTAAGATTAACCAAAGCCACACACACTAGGATGCAGTTAAATTGAAACTCAAATGCTGCTTCACTTATCCACCATGTCACATCACCTTTATGTTTCAAACAACATTAAGAAATACAAGATGAAAACTTGCATAAGGTTTTACTACTCTTCCCACTTTTGTTCTTACACGGAATAGACTAAAGAAAGCTTTCTACCAAGGCTTAAAATTTCTGTGCATTATGAAAAGCAAACGGCATGCTTTTAGAATATAGCAGGTGAAATTATTTCAAGAAGTGACATAGCTATATTTGGTAGGTGTTACAGCAGCTGTGAATTAAGCATGGGCTCCAGCATATCCCTCTCTGACCTTCTGCATCATCTGGAAAAGGATCGGGAATAAAAAAAAATTAAAATGTTATTTTAGTGTGTGAATTAATTCATTCAATATTAACTAAGCTTGAAACCACAATAATTAAAACGATGTGGTATGAGAACAAGAATAGACAGGTTGATTCAAATTTAAATTCAAGTAAGTACAGGATTTAAATTAGTCTAAAGGTGACATTGCAGATCACCAAAGGAAACAAGAACTTCCTACTGTTCCTAGGTTAATTTTCTTACTATAGAAAAAAGCAGTAAGATCCTTGTTTTAAAACAAATACCAAAATTAATTCCAGATAGATTAAACTTAAATTTGGTAGACTCTGTGTTGGAATATACGTAGCCACTGTATTAAAAAAAAAAAAAAAATCTTCAGTAATGTGTTTGCCTTTCAACACAACACTTTTAGTGAATGCCCATCACATCATTGTTTACTCTAACCATGATGAAAGGCTACCTGTGAGACAAATGTTACACAACAGGGGATCTCATAAATAAAATATGAAGCATGCTTATAAAAAACGGGTCCTATGCTATCACTCCCAACAAATTGTGCTGAAAGCCTCATATATTACCCTGTAACTATAAAATAAAACCAATATT
This sequence comes from Homo sapiens, assembly GCF_000001405.40. NCBI lineage: Eukaryota > Metazoa > Chordata > Mammalia > Primates > Hominidae > Homo > Homo sapiens. Next base: position 59,271 of record NW_003315919.1, on the reverse strand, counting down.
TTCATGAAATATGTAAAATAGATGTAATGTATGTCTAGGTAAACTACTGTAAATTACGTCAGAAAGGGCACTTTTGGTGATAGTGCCAGTTATATCCCAGGTAGTGCCTGTACTAGTCAGCATGGTGGTTTATATTGAGTAGACACATAATATATATGTGACGAAGTCAATTTTATTTTCCTGAAATGATTCCATAATTCTCTAGTTAATTTTAAAATGTCTTTGTATCTTCATGATCCCGTTTGATTATGCATAGGTAAATGCTTAAAAGCTAACGCTTTACTCAAACAGCTTTTATTTTCCTAACTGGTATTTAAACCTTATTACATTAATACTTTCTTAATGTTTTATTTTGGCCTGCTTCCAGTCCTCTTGTAAACCAGTGAATCAGAATGACTAACTAAGTACCAGTAAGAAACACTGGGAGGTTCCTCATGTCTTCAATCTCTCTCTTCCCCAACAAATGTAGCCCCAAAAGAATTTTTTCTTACGTAAATTTTTGAAGGATTTAATATCTTTCCAAGCTTAGCTATAAGTGAAGAATCAGACTCCATGTTATTACATTACACATGAGCCTTTCATAGAAGTAGTACATTTTTAGCTGCCTACCCTCTCTCTAGGAGACAGGAAAAAAGTTATTATTTTTAAGTAGTTATATGACATGAATCATAATGATTATTTTGGTCATGCTTCAAACTCCAAAGCATTACATAAAGAAGGCATACCTTGGAGAAACTGAACAAAAACACAAGAATCCTAAGCATTGGGCTAAAGAACACATTGGTTTAGTTTGAAAATGGTTTAATTTGAAACCTGAATATTATCAGTAGATAGAAATGATAATTCACAATCAAGCCAGAAGAAACTTGCTTTTTTTGTCAATTTTCTTTAAAGATTTTAAATGTCACATTCAAACATACAACTCTAACAACAACTCTCTCTCTCTCTTTCTCTCTCTCTCTCTCTCTCTATATATATGTATATATACACGAGTTCAAAATTAACACATTGTATTACCACATCTAATATGCCTTCGTTCTTGATAAAATGTAAGAAAAATTTCAGTTTCAAAGGAAAGGACACCACTTTTGGTTAAACCCTAACATTTTTCTCAGATTTACAGTATTCTGTAAGACAAGCATAATTTTCCACCAGCTCGGGACATGAACTGGTATTAAAACTTAGCTCTTAAAAAATGTTACTGGAATTATGACTAAAGAAAAAAATTAAGTTAAACTTGAAATGGGCCTAACTATTGATGAGAGCTTGAATTTCAGGAAACAAGGATGGCTCACAAACCATACTGACAATCATAATAATCATTCATGTCAACCATCACCACAGCATCATTGTGTTTCAACTTTACCGAATCAGCAGTGAACAATCTTATCATCCTTATGTTAACACATAAACAGTTTACCTTTGAAAAAGCAGAGTCTTACCAGGGGTATATAAAACATTATCTCCAATACAGAAGGGTTTGAAAGACTCTATCTTCCAAGAGAATGGGGGATCGTTGAATTATAAACAATGTGTTCATTTTTAAGGCATGTCAATCATTTGAAATAATATTACTTTGTAACTTAATCTCAGATATATTTACTTAAGACAGAGTAAATCTGTAATAATATGATGGCAGTCCTAAAGAGGGAGATCATTTTCAATACAGCACATTCAGTTCAGTTTTGTTTACTTGTTTTTTTTATATTACTATTGTTCACTATTGAGAAGGAAATTATATTGATGAAGTCCCTGCATTTGTAATAATGATAGTTGAGGAACATAAATATAAGAGCATGAATCAGTCAAAAATAAGTGAATGATTCTGGGATTGAATCCAAATTTTATTTAAACCAAATTAGTTAACCCATTGCTTGGCCAATATACAAATTCATAGTTAGGCTAATGGAAGAATATCTAGAGCAGAAGTAGCATGCTCAAATACTTACAGAGGCCAGGATGGTATTATAAATGTTGAATATAGAATGATGAAGAATATTAGGTCCCCCATAAACCTTCAAAATTCAATAAAAATAACTATAGAAGGGCAGTGTTACTTTCAGCCATAAGTTGCCACTTTTGATATGGTGAAATGACTAGAGTATGTAACTGCATCCCCAAATGAAGGAGCCCAATATTAGAATCCCATGTAAGAGACAACCAAGTCTGTGACCAGTTATTATTCTTTGCTCAAGAGGCTGTCCAATTTGCCTCTTGCTAAGGAGATAAGATACAGTCATAGTTCCCAAGAAGCTGATAGTTTGAGTTTATAAGTTAATACCTAGTGAATAACAATTAATTATGACAAATACTATAGTAAATGTAAGTACAGAAAAGAGAACCATCTAGTGAAAATAGAGGTAGTGATATCTGCATTAAGTCATTAAGTATAAATAGGAATTATTCAGCAATGAAAGTGGGGAGACTCCGCAGGCAGGAAAACAGCATATTGTACATGTTAGTGATCAGTCTTCCTTGTCATTCTCTTGCCTTCTTTATTTCTCAACCTACAATAACTACAATAGCTAGCTAGCTAGAGCTCACTCAGTAAATAGCTATTATTACTATAGTGGCACAATTGGTTGATGTTTTGAGTTAGCCAGAGCTGGCTGATTCAAATCCTGTTTTGTGAGTTTATTAGCTGTGTGACCTGGATTATGCCACTTAAATTCACTAGTTTTGTTTTCTTACCTGTTTAGTGAAGATAATAATTACCCACATTGTTGTCCTATAGATTAAATAAAATGATGCACATAAAACCCAGCTCCTACTACATAAAGGGCACATAAAATTCAATTTTTATTATCAGGGAAAATAAAACACAATATGCAGAGTTAGACAAAAGAAGATAGAAAATGGAGAGCAAGTGAAGTGATACAAACTCATCCACACCATTAATCCAGACCAAATTTAATAATAGTTATTTTTTCTCCCTAGAAAGTTGTTGGTTGCTCAGATGTGATTCAGAAATGCCAGCATGGGGGCCATGGAAAGGGCTTCAATAGGGGAACTGATGAATTACTAGAAAGAACATGAGTGGGAATGTTCCCAAGCTTAAGTGAGCTTTGAGCTCCCAAACAGAGCTAGCTGTTTCATTGCTGTGGTTTTTATTTACTAAATTTGGGCTGAGAAGCTAGGATTTGAGTTTCTGATGCTGTCTGTCATCAGATCACTGATATATTTCCTTATCTCCTGCATTATATCTCTTTCATGGTTATTCTTTTTTTTTTTGCATCATTTAAAATTAAAGCCTTGACTGTCCCTTGACTAAATGATTTTAGAATACAACTGTTTTTATTTTAAATTTCTTATTTACATATTACCTTCCATCATGGATGCTGGAAATAACTTTAGAATATTTTAAAACTCTAAGATGGAGAAAACATTCTGGGCAACAAATTTATGTTTATTTTTCAGGTAGCTCATGTCAATCTGACCCTTCTGAGCCTTACCTTTCCTTGTGGGACTACCCTTTAATTCTAAAAGACAATGCTTTGCACACAGTGTTAAACATATTATGTTCTGTGTTAATCATCATGGAATCCAAGGGTTTTCTTTGCTTCCTACCCTCTGTATCCAATAAACTAAACCATGCCAACGTGGTGATTTAGCAAATGATTTATTCTTTTCTGTCAATTTTGGGCTAGTAACAAATATTGCAAGAAAATCATGCTGCTTAATAAGTTCACATCTAACTGAGAATGCTAGTATTTTTCCACATGTCTAGAATGCATTTGCATCTTTAATTTTTCTCTAAGTAGTATAAAAATGTACTGACATAAACAACCAGTATAATTATGTTTCTATGAGGAGATCAAAAATCCAGAGTAGAAATAAAGAGATTTGTATTTGTATCCCAACTCTGATACTTATAATATGGCCCTGGCTATGTATTGGAACTTTATGGATACTTATGTACCAAATGTTTATTGATCACATATGTTTCAGATCCTAATCTTATCTCCTCAAAAACATGGTCATACAAATTTACAAGGTCAAGTATGGTTCAATGAGAAAAGAAAAGTGCATGTTTTAAATTGAAAAATTATAAAAAGAGTGAGAAATTCTTCAGCATCCTTTCATCTATCCATTTCTGAACAATGTCCCTTATGAAGCAAAAACTGCCTCCTAACTTATGAAAGACAGAAATAGCAGACACTTATTTTCTGAAGCTTCCTTTGTAGCCATAAACTAGGCACAGAAGCTCAAGTTTCTGTATTGGATGAACTGACCCTAGAGTCCCAGGAACCAGGAGGGATTTTGTCTTTCTAGTGGTAAATGTAGGAGGACTAAATTTCTAAATCTTGGTGACAGCAGTGCTACTGGCAATGCCAAGAGCCACAAGACCAGTGTGATAAACATCAGCAAACAGGACCTCATGGTCACAATGGCACAGGGTTCCCTGACCAGTTCTGCATTGGCCTAATATACACAGTCCCAAACCTCATTCTCCCATCTTTTTAGTAGTGTCTAAGCTCTCCAATATCCTTTCAGTGCAACTAGTGTCTATTCAAATTAGCTAAAGGTGCTTTCTATTGCTGCAATTCTGACTCCTAACAGATATAAAGAGAGTTAAATTGTAGATGTTTTCAAAACACCCATCTACCTGTGGAAGATGCTACACTATTACTATTATGGGCTGAGGAAGACATAACAAAAGAGCTCCCCTCCCCAACTTCAATTGAAACTGATGTAATAGCCCAGTAGAGCTGATGTTTAGGGTGTCTTTGAATAAACATAGAAGTTAATCCTCTCAGTCTTAAAACTTGAGAAAGTTGAATTTGTCTTAACTGAGTTTCTCTCTCAGGAAACCAACCATCAGGCCTCCCCAAATAGTCTCAAGGAGCTGAAACTCACCAGATCACTGCATTTGGACAATGAGATCCCAGATCCCTCACTCATCATAACTGCCTAGCCAACCACCTGCTTCCTGTTGACCAACTCCTCTTCCTTTCCCCTCCTTCTGCCCCATGAATGAATGTCTCTGTAATCAAGTAACTTTAGAAGATGTTGCATACCATGCTCTCTTGGAAATCTGCATAACAGATCAACATATGATAGGCTCTGGGAAGTGTAATGGTAAAGAGATATTTGTGACTTTCTACCTTGCACCTAAACTTATTTGGCTGAGAAAAATGTATTTTCCAAAGCACCAATAACATTGTGCCATTAGGGTCCTGCTGAATGTGTTTTTAGGCATACATCTATGTCATATTATTTAGTCATCTTATTTTGGAAGAGATAATCCTAGAAGTATGCTACACATAGTAACAGGAGAAATAGCATGGGAATGGGATTCATATCACATACCATGTGAAATATTATCTTGGGGACATCAATGCACCTCTCTGATCCTTAATTTCCTATTCTGTAGAATGTGGTAAACCCCTTTTATGTACATTACTAAAATACTGTACATAAAACTCTTAGCGCAATGTCTAGCACATAGGGAACTAGATGTATTATTGAAGAAAGATATTTACCTGACCCCTTCATGGGATTTGCAATAAGGGTGCCTCATTTACTCAGCCTGTAGCTCTCAACACCTCATGGGAGGGAGCATGAGAAAAAACAAGGTGGGAACTGGAGTGCAGGAGTGCTAGAACCAGCCAGCCACTCCAGTGCCAGCAGAGGTGAACTCCACTCACTCAAACCCACTGTGTTCCACCCGTCACAGAAGGAAGCACACAGGTGAGTGGGTACAGGAGCTGGGGGGGGTGCTTCTTGGCCCTGGAAGGAGCAAACTCTGTGTGGGCCCTGTGGCAGTGTCTAGGGAGGATGCCCAAAATCCCTGAAGCCTCAGTGGGGAGTATTACAGTGCTCCTTTAGCTCTGCTGTCCACGAATGCCTTAAGTGTTAACAGATCAATGGGCCCTCTGCCTTCTACCAGCAAAGGCAAAGTGTCAGTATGTCAGCCTTTCCTATCCTCAGTCATGGCTCCTGAGCTCTTGTCAAGCATCCAAGAGAAATGAGTTGTGCAAACGAACTGAAGAATGGTACATGCAGGGGATTTTATTGCTGATGAAAATGGCTCTCAGCAGGAAGGGAAGCTGAAAAAGGGATGGGTGGGAAGGTAATCTTCCCCTGAAGTTCAGCCATCTCCAGCCAGATTCTTCTCCAAAGTTATGCCGTCAGGCTGTCCTTCTGACTTCAAGCTGCTTCTCTCTGACATCCAGCTGTAGTCTCTGATATCCAGGTGCTTCTCCTTGCTGCTGGCTGAGTCTGGGGTTTTTATCGGCACAGGATGGGGGACAGGGCAGGGTCATGGGTGCATTTGGAAAAGGCAACATTTAAGCAGGAAAACAGGGATGGAAGTTCTCACTTTGGGCCACAGTCTCAGGCTTTTTGGCTTGAGGGTGGGACTTTGCCAGGGACCCGCATTTTCCTGCCTAGAATTTCTCTGCCTCCTGTCCCTATTATTATTATAAAAAATAAATTGAAAGTATTAAAAATTAAATTATATAATGCATGAAAATAATCTAGTAACAAAATCTGTGCCATCTACTAGCTGCTCAATGAAAAGATAGGTTACCTTTCTCTCTTTGGTAGAAGCAAATTTGATCAAATGCAATAAGGAGAATTGTGTATTCTCTTCACTACACTGTAAATGGAGGGAGGGAGGATAGAAGCTGAGTCTGGTTTTGTTCAGCATATTCCCCCAGAGCACCTAAAACAAAGTATATTTTTGTATATCACTGTATAAATGTCCCACTGTTTGTGTTAACTTCCCAGAGCACAGAATCAAAATGCTCCATTTTTTGCTCTGTAGAAATTTATTCAAAACAATAGATTGCATATAATAAGCTCTTTTTCTCATATTTTACTACATTTCTCAGCCTGGTCTCAATTTTGTTTTTCAATTCAAACTTCCAATGACTAGCAAAAGGCAAAGAAATAAGAACGTCTTATTTTTGATAGAGTTAAGGTGAATATATTGGCATCTCAACAAACGTACAGATTGAAAACTTCATTCTGAAACATTGGAAGACTTTCCTATTAAGCAGTGCTCCACTCTCAGATCCGTGGATACAAAATTGCTATTGACTGCAGGGCAGAACAAACTAACCAATTTCACAGAATTACTTTTTGGTATATGGATTACAACTGCACAGAGAACAGCACATATATAAAGATACTGGCTTCTAGGACAAAGGAAAAATAGCAACTAGGGCAATATAGTCATATCAGAAAGCTAGAATATTTGTGTGATGGTTTGCATTTTGGAAAACGCCAGACTTAATTTTTCATACTTGGTCTCTTCAATATTCTTGGGAGCATGGTAAATGCAGCTATAATGAATAATTTATAGTTATCAAAACTCTCTTAACCTCATCAAGCATTCACATATTTAGCATAGGATTCTTCCCCCAAAGAAAAATATCTGAAAATCTCTACTTTTTGAAAGATAGTTCAATGCTTAAAAAATGATCCCAATTATTAATTTGGCCCAAAAGGCCCTGTGTAGTCTGACACCATCTCTAATAGTCGGGTTAGGCTATGCTATGCTACAATCATAAGCAAACCCCAAATTCCAGTGGCCTAACATAGCATTTTATCTATTAATCTATTTGTTACACAATGCCACATGTCCATTCAACTCTTCTGAATAATTTTTCTCCAAATAGCGACTTACATCTGGATCAGTTAATTTTGGAAACTTTGCCATATCAATACAAGGTATTCTCATTGACCCCAGAAGAGAAAAAGAGGTACTAGATAATTAATTGTGCATGCCCTTTAATTGCCTCAGGCAAAGATGATATTCTCAGAGCTCCTCTGCCTGAAAGGGGTGAGGAGTTTGTATGTGAGTAAATGAATATTTAAGGAGTACCACTATCTCTTCTTCACCTCCTTACCTGTACCACTCTCCTACCTGTTCTCAGCTCTCAGCTGTACTCAGTTTTTTAAATCAATCATGCTCTCTGCTCCTACAGGGAATTTGCACAACCTTTTATTTCTGTGGGTAATATCTTAATATTCTTCGCTATCATTCCACCAACTACCTCTATCTACTTGATTTTCTTTTTCTCCCATTCTCAGCTAAGCATCACTTTCTCAGGGAACTCCTTCCCAAACTACTCCCCGCCTGCAAATACTATTACAGGAATTCTTTCATAAGAGGACTTATTACTTCATAGATATATGTTCCTCATTTGGCTATTTGACTAAGCCTTGCCTATCCCACTAGAACGGAGCTGCAAGAGAACATGAAATGTATTTTTTTATCACCATTGTATTCCCAATACATAGAAAAATAATTGGCCCATAATATAAATGCAATAAATTTTTGTTAAATGAATAAATGAATGATGAAGCATGTGGTATTCAGAGAGATTATAACATATGACCAAAGTTATAACCAACCGGTGACAAAGCCCAGACTTATACCCTGATCTACTGACTCTAAATTCCATTATCTTTTTATTGCTTCCCAGTAGGCTAAATTTGGAAATGGGCATTTTCTTGGAAGGAAGGAATTGGAGATGCGTCATAGAAAGACTTTCCTGTCAGAAATTTAAAAAGAAACACAGATTTTAGCCATCTGTTGTTACAGAGCCAACAATTCTTTGGGCCTGGAGATCCTTGGATGTATAAGTTAATTACAAATCAACCATTGTCTACTTAAAGAAAAAAATGAAACTATTGTTAATATCAGCCAAAAGAGCTTTCAAAGTTTGAAGACAAAAAAAGTGTTTGCTTTGTGGCTTTCTATTGTCCCGTCGTTCTTATTTTCAGACTGTTGGGACAGACAAGTCACATTAATTTATGAGTCACACTTTCTAAAACTAGAACTTTATTTGCATGAACAATAGTTATGTGTCCAGCTTGATAGTCAGTAAGGTAGAAAACCGACCTCTATTGAGTGAATAGCTTTTTCTGTTTCTGTAGATCACCTGAAATTAGGTGAAATTTCATTGTGAGATAGTCAGTTAAAAACTGCTAATTTATAAAAGTGATGCATACTCAATGGAAAATAAAAATAAAAACGAAATTCTTAAACAGTGCGAGGAAGAAATCAAATTTTGTTTGAAACCCTACCTCCCAAATGTAATCACAGTTACTATTTGGGCAAACATCCTTCCGAAGACAGTTATCTCTCAATAACCCATATTTTTAAGAAATTGGCTGTTTCCAGCTGTACAACCCAAGGTTGAATTGTGCAATGCTTGAGTCAAAAGTCCCAGGTTTAAATGCTAACTCTGCCACCTACCAGCTGTGTGACCTTGGACAATTACTTAATTTCTCTAACCTTCACTTTCTCCATTTAAAAATTTTGAGAGTATTTGCTTTGAGAGGGTGGTTATAGAAATAAAATGAGAGAAAGTATGCAAAGTACCAGGTACAATGCCAGAAATACTCAGGCATCCAAGGAAAACAAATACAATTTTATTTTCCCAGGAGGATATAGATAGTGATGATCCGATATGAGGATTAGATGACAAATGAAAAAGTGGGAGATCATTTTGCATGCAGTTAAAATTGCAAGACCAATGCCCTCAGCTACCCTTTTATCAGTGCTGAGGGGCACAGAGGCTAAATTGGCTTTTAAACATGTCTGATGGTTACATTTACTAAAATTATCTGAAAAGTCATTCTCTACAAAAATAAATTGGCTGGGAGTATATGAAGACGGAACTATCATTTACTGAGCAAAGTATTAAGCAGGTGTTATGCTAGGTTCTTTACATTTATTGTTTTATTAAATCCTCCTAACAACACTATAAGTTAGATGCCATTGCTAGACATATTTTATAGATTAGGGAACTGAAACTTAGCAAGTTGCGGTGATTTGTCCAAGCAAATTGAGGTGATTTGTCTATTATTACATGTCTTTGGACATGTAATAATAGAGGAACTGAGATATGATTCTAAGTTGGGTCGACTACAAATTTGAAGCCCTAAATCATTGGGCAGCACTTCTTTCCCAGGTACCTGGAATATCTGCATTTATTTTTTTAAATCCTATAAAATGTGCTTTCAAGAAAACATAAGTTGAAAAGCAAAATATACTGTCTACTTAATAGACAATGAGCTTAAGATCTGAAAGGATGCACCACTTGTTTACTGTCTGATAATATGCACAACCAGTTGAATGACAGAGCTAGGGAGGACCATGAACTCCTAAATTGCTCTAACTAAACTGGTTTTTGGAAGAAACCAAAGGCTACTCACAGATTATCTCTTAAAAATTTCTGCCCAGAAAAATAGTGACAATCATACTGCATGTCTAAATAGCATGCTCTTTCAAAGATTACATGATTCTTGCAACAACTTTCAATCTGGAGGGTAGACATTATAATGCCTATTTTACACATAGAAGAGATTAGATTACAAATTCAGTTAGTTTTAGAAAATCTAGGCTTTCTCACTTTAAATAAGTGTTCTCTTTACAATATCTGGGAGAGAAAAAAAAATACAATATTTTCTCTCCCAGGAAAAACTTTCACATATTTTGAAACTCATTCACCTATACTGTCATGTCCTGGAGCAAATAACTTACAGAATATTCTCTTTATGTTTTATACTTTAGCTAGGTGAAGTCTCTGTTTTTTTCAGATATCATGATGTGCAACTCAAATAGCTCTGCCTGGCGAGTTATAGGGAAACATCCTAAATGAGATTTATGAGGAGGCTTCTCTAGCTTTGGTGCCCTTCCTGGATAAAGTAGAACTTTTCCCACTAACTCTGCAAGATCTATACTTGAGACACTTGGGAACTCTTTTTATGAGAAATCAAAATGACTGCCTTCATCACGATGAATAATTTTTGACTTTAGAAAGAATATGTAATTAAGTGACTTGCAGTACAATCACTCTAAATTAATCAAGAGAGGACAGACATTAATTCAGAAGGGGAAAAATCTATCAAGAGCAAACCAAGTTCAATAGTGTAGAATAATTAATATCCATTTCACAAGACCAAATGCCATTAGCTCTAGTCAGCCAACAGCCTGGCACAATCACTTTCTCTTCCCTCTGCCACTGGTCCATGGAAAAACACAGCTTACTGAATGTGTTTTCAAACAACTTAATTTGCTTCTCATTAAGGGGCTGTGTGGTTGGCCATAATGGATAGATGTTTAAATGAGAAATAAGAGTTTATTAAAAACGAAAAAGTTTTTATTAAAAATATTTAATTTTGTGATGGGAAGAACTTATTAATGTTTTGTTTTGTTTTGTTTTATTTTTCTTTAATCTCCGTGCTCCAGTTGATTTACTCAAAATCAAACTGAGAGCCGCCTACAACATCCCAGTAGTAAAAAAGCCCATCCAATTCAACTTCGTGGTACAACCATACTTTAATTAAAAAGAAAACCTGGAATGGAATGCAAACTATACCATATTTCAACCTTAACTCATGGGGAAGTCATGTTATCTCTCTGAGTCTCAGTTCTTGTATCAGGTGAAAATCATGTGAATATTTATCACACTGAGTCTCAGTTCAGGTGAATATTCACCTCTCTGAATTTCTTTTACCAGGTGAAAATCAGGTGAATATTTACCACATTGGGAAGTTGTGGGGTCAAAATGAAATCATAACTGCTTTGTAAAGTCTAAAGTAATACTAATTAAGCTTTTAAGTCCGAGGACCATTGATTCAAATCCTAGTTCCTTTAACTCATTAGCTGTGTGGTCTTGAGTAAATTACACACTTCTCTGGATTTAAGATGTCACCCATAAAAGGATAACAATGATTCCTGATAAGACTGTTATGTGAAATATCAGGAAAGAACCAAATTCAACACCCTGTTGGCACTTGATAAAAGGTGGCATTATTATTGTTATGTTTACTAACTTTCCCCAAGATCAACATTATGAGAATTAGTATCAGTGAGGTGATCATAATGGAAAGTATAATACATAATACAAGAAATCTTTGGCAAGAACACAGGAATAAAGCAATAAACCATGGTAGGGCTGAGAGAGAGAGGAGCTTTTTCTGCTAAATATATAATTACTTTCAACTCATACATTTATATATATATTTAATTTTATTTTATTATTATACTTGAAGTTTCAGGGTACATGTGCACAATGTGCAGGTTAGTTACATATGTATACATGTGCCATGCTGGTGTGCTGCACCCATTAACTCGTCATTTAGCATTAGGTATATCTCCTAATGCTATCCCTCCCCCCTCCCCCCACCCCACAACAGTCCCCAGAGTGTGATGTTCCCCTTCCTGTGTCCATGTGTTCTTGTTGTTCAATTCCCACCTATGAGTGAGAAGATGTGGTGTTTGGTTTTTTGTTCTTGCGATAGTTTACTGAGAATGATGATTTCCAATTTCATCCATGTCCCTACAAAGGACATGAACTCATCATTTTTATGGCAGCATAGTATTCCATGGTGTATATGTGCCACATTTTCTTAATCCAGTCTATCATTGTTGGACATTTGGGTTGGTTCCAAGTCTTTGCTATTGTGAATAGTGCCGCAATAAACATACGTGTGCATGTGTCTTTATAGCAGCATGATTTATAGTCCTTTGGGTATATACCCAGTAATGGGATGGCTGGGTCAAATGGTATTTCTAGTGCTAGATCCCTGAGTAATCGCCACACTGATTTCCACAATGGTTGAACTAGTTTAAAGTCCCACCAACAGTGTAAAAGTGTTCCTATTTCTCCACATCCTCTCCAGCAGCTGTTGTTTCCTGACTTTTTAATGATTGCCATTCTAACTGGTGTGAGATGGTATCGCATTGTGGTTTTGATTTGCATTTCTCTGATGACCAGTGATGGTAAGCATTTTTTCATGTGTTTTTTGGTTGCATAAATGTCTTCTTTTGAGAAGTGTCTGTTCATGTCCTTTGCCCACTTTTTGATGGGGTTGTTTGTTTTTTTCTTGTAAATTTGTTTGAGTTCATTGTAGATTCTGGATATTAGCCCTTTGTCAGATGAGTAGGTTGCGAAAATTTTCTCCCATTTTGTGGGTTGCCTGTTCACTCCGATGGTAGTTTCTTTTGCTGTGCAGAAGCTCTTTAGTTTAATTAGATCCCATTTGTCAATTTTGTCTTTTGTTGCCATTGCTTTTGGTGTTTTAGACATGAAGTCCTTGCCCATGCCTATGTCCTGAATGGTGTAATGCCTAGGTTTTCTTCTAGGGTTTTTATGGTTTTAGGTCTAACATTTAAGTCTTTAATCCATCTTGAATTAATTTTTGTATAAGGTATAAGGAAGGGATCCAGTTTCAGCTTTCTACATATGGCTAGCCAGTTTTCCCAGCACCATTTATTAAATAGGGAATCCTTTCCCCATTGCTTGTTTTTCTCAGGTTTGTCAAAGATCAGATAGTTGTAGATATGCAGCGTTATTTCTGAGGGCTCTGTTTTGTTCCATTGATCTATATCTCTGTTTTGGTACCAGTACCATGCTGTTTTGGTTACTGTAGCCTTGTAGTATAGTTTGAGGTCAGGTAGCGTGATACCTCCAGCTTTGTTCTTTTGGCTTAGGATTGACTTGGCGATGCGGACTCTTTTTTGGTTCCATATGAACTTTAAAGTAGTTTATTCCAATTCTGTGAAGAAAGTCATTGGTAGCTTGATGGGGATGGCATTGAAACTATAAATTACCTTGGGCAGTATGGCCATTTTCATGATATTGATTCTTCCTACCCATGAGCATGGAATGTTCTTCCATTTGTTTGTATCCTCTTTTATTTCATTGAGCAGTGGTTTGTAGTTCTCCTTGAAGAGGTCCTTCACATCCCTTGTAAGTTGGATTCCTAGGTATTTTATTCTCTTTGAAGCAATTGTGAATGGGAGTTCACTCATGATTTGGCTCTCTGTTTATCTGTTATTGGTGTATAGGAATGCTTGTGATTTTTGTACATTGATTTTGTATCCTGAGACTTTGCTGAAGTTGCTTATCAGCTTAAGGAGATTTTGGGCTGAGACGATGGGGTTGTGGAGTATTTACAGTGTGCCATTAAAAGAATGTTATTCATAATCATTGCTTTCAGGGGCTTAATATATAGTTAGATAAATAGATATAAATATATTTATATATGCAAATACATAAAACATTTACATGCAAATTATATGCATATATAATTTATGTAAGTATACACACTATATTACATTTTAATTTAAAAATTTTGCAGAAAGAGTAACATATCACAAGACAGTGTATAGTAAAATTGAAATGATTGTGACAGACAATAAGTATTCAAGCATAGGAATAATACCTGTTTTTCACTGTATTAAGTAAACACAATGTGTTATCAACAATATTTATTACAGAAATAAATCTGTCAATACAAGTTTCATTCTGAAAACTTGTTTCTGAGGACTGAAGTTTAGCTTTCTGATTTTGTTGTTCCCCATTTTTCTCTACTCACCTAAATAAAAAGATAAGGGAGAGTTCTCCCCGAAAGCCTATCAGTAAATATCAGCGAATCTGTTATCACTCTTATACTTAACGTCTTTCAAATTTACTCCTTTGGCATCTTAAGTGGCATGAGTGGCTTCTTTTCCTGCTACTCTCAGGTACACATACATAGCCTATGTGCAGTGCTGTATTGCATGACTTATCCTATAATCACTTGTACAAGTTGTTCTCTCTGCCTAAGATAACCCTTCCTCCCCTACCTAGTAAGCCCCTACTCATCCATCAACTCTTCACGCAAATGTTTCTTCATCTTTGAAGTTTTTTCATTCCTACTCATTTGAAAAAAAGTGAATTGTTATATTTTGTTCTGCCTCTCCATCATTAATTAACATATTACAATGATCTGATTGCTCATCTATCTTCTCCACTAGACTTATGAGATTTACAAAGACTGGGACTATGTCATGTCTCTCCATGGCTCCAGGTATAGTGGCTGGCAAGTTGTAAGCACTTTACAAATAAATCTCTAGCCAATTCTTTCAAATAACTATTATATTAAACTTGTTATTATGTTGCATTAGACAAGAAAGAAAACGTGTTTTGAATAAAGACAGCTAATACTACTGAACAATTCTTACATGACAGGTGTTATACTGTTATTTACCCCAGTTTATGAATGAAAAGAAAAAAAAAATAAGCTGCCAGAGACAGCGAGATTAGATCAACCATTAGATCAAGTAAGAACTGATATAAGGTGACCTATCCAACTGTCATGAGATGAAAGGGCATCAAGGTGGTGATTCAGAGTAAAGGAAGCTTTGGGTTGCAGAGAAGAAAATAAAGGTGACAGAGCCACCCACACTAGTACTCTTAACAACACATGTGGTTATTTTATTAATGAAAATGTAAACGTGTTTGATCTATTTGGCAAAGTTGTGGAAACTGGATTCATGAAAATTAAGATGGTGTTCTGCTGGTTTTATAGAAGGAGGCTAAAATTTAAAAAAAAAGAAAGGGGCTAAAATAGAAATTTCAACTGCTACACATACAAGGGAGATAATTATTTTGGTTAAATGTAAATTAATTAATAGAAAAATTCCAATTTTTGCTAAACATGGGAAAATCTATGACTAACAGCCAAGTGACAGAGGCACTTAATCTCCATTTCTTTTTTATTTTTTTTAAGATGTTATTGGCTTTATTTTTGATTCTAGAATCAGGCAACACCTCATTCTATAAAATAGGAGTGTTCTCACCATTCCTTAATTGATGACATTTAAACCACAGATGCTTTTCTTTTACACTTTATTTTTATTTTTACTTTTTTCAGGATCCAGTTGATTGGACTGAATACACTTTATTTTTAAAAGAAACATACATTTAAAAATAAAAGACAAATCAATGATGACTCCCATATATACATGTCATGGGAAGTGATGTGTGAAAATGAGTGAAAACTCCAAAAATAAATAAATAAAATAAAAATTAAAAGGAGAGCACTGTCATTAAAAATACATATAATAAAATAAAGGAATCCTATAGCCTAGACTAGAATATTCTTTTTGAATATATAGAAAAAAGGACAGAAAGCTCTCCAGGAACATGAAAGACATTACAGGGATCCATCCCTAACCTGCTTTCTTTCCTTGCATCTCCTTATCTTTTCATGTGAGGATAGTGTTACCTCACTGGGAGAAGTTCTGTTTGAGGATCTTAGGCAGAGAAAGCATAAGGAAGGTCCTTGATGACTGAAATGCAGCAGCTTAAGGCATTTGCCTGCGGCTGTTGAACAACTTTGAAAAGCATCTTTGTCCGTTTTAGAATTGAGCTTTCTTTTCTTGGAATGACAACATTGCAGAGGAAGCCAGTGGCAAGATCAGCAAATTCTGAAGATGTCAATGTCCTCCGTATGTACCCAATGTGTGAATGTCCATATTCATGTACATACACCCACACTCAGAACACACAATTTGCTTGTTTCAGAAATCATACTTAGGCCATTATCATTACATGGAATTAATTGAACTGATTTCTTGAGAATAATCATCCTCGATATTGAAAACACAGGCTACATGCTCACTGAACTTTTGTCTTCATGGAAACACTTTCGAAAGACTAAATTCCTTTAGCAATTGGATGATATGGCTGGGTTCAGGCCAAGAGATGGGCACAGAAGTGATATACGCTGCTTCCAGCTCTAACAATAGAATGACTTGTCTAATTTTTTACCTCCTCTCCTTCCCTAAGCCTGTCTGCCCAATCTGCCAGGTAGATAACCCTAGGCCAACCTTGAAGCCTCAGCGTGATAGAGACATAAGATATAAGAAGCCTGGGTTCTAACATCACTCTTGGAAGACAGCCACCTGACCTGTCTCAGACTTCCATGTGAGTGAGAAATAAACTCCTCTGCTAAGGCCATTGAGCCTTTAGAATTTATCTATGACTTAGATTGTCTACTCTGACTAACAGGAAAATTGGCGCAAAAAATGTGGTATTGCTTTAAGAAAAGCGTGAAATAACTTTTGCTCATCAATTGGGCAGCAGACACTAAGAAAATCAATATCAGATGCTGGAAATATGTCAATGGCATTCAGAGGCAAATCTTTGGTAAAAGTTTTGCCCCAAATCAGCACTTACTACACCAGCTACATCTCTAAGGAAAGAGGATTGAGACTAGGGCCCAGGCACGGTGGCTCACGCCTGTAATCCCACCACTTTGGGAGGCCGAGGCAGGCGGATTACCTGGGGCTGGGAGTTTGAGACCAGCCCGGCCAACATGGTGAAACCCCATCTCTACTAAAAATACAGAAATTAGCCGGGTGTGATGATGGGCACCTGTAATCCCAGCTATTCAGGAGGCTGAGGCAGGATCATCACTTGAACCCGGGAGGTGGAGGTTGCAGTGAGCCGAGATCACGCCACTGCACTCCAGCCTGGGCAACAGAGCGAGACTTTGTCAAAAAAAAAAAAAAAAAGAAGAAGATTGAGTATAGAAAGTTCTACTTTAGCCCCTTTCCATGAAGCTAGCAGAACAGCATCTTAATTTCCATGCATGAACTAGATTGTTTTGGTTTAGTTGTGATTGTTTATGTTTGGGAAGCCTTTTCAGAAGTGGGAAAGGTCAGGAAAGAATGAGTCACTTTGCAAACATAGATGAAAATGAACAGAGAATCCGTAAATGCGGGGTCTCTCAGGATTGGAAATTGTAGACTGCAAATATAAGGAATGGGATTTGAAAAGACTTTACCTGATGGAGACTGAGTAAAAACTTCTCAGAGAACAGACCAGATGAAGGATTGCGTTTTCTATTGAACCCCAATGACTTTGAGATATTTGAGAGAGAAAGAATCATGAGGATGAGAAAGCACAGACATCAATTGGACATAAAAAATTATTTCTAGGATCACCACATAAAGCAAAAGAGATTTAAATACATCAGAAGCCTACCATGTGGTTGTGGGAACTGTATTTCCAGAAAACTATGATGCCTGCAACTTAAAAAACAGTGCCCGTTTGAGACTTAAGCAGCCTTTGGCATCTATTCCTCTGCCTCCCATTCTCTTAGAGCTGGAGAAAGGCCATGCAAAATTCCCCTGGGCCAATCGCCACACTGTTTCTTCCATTCTTTCTGTTTAAGACTGGAGGTCTGTTTTGGTTATTTTAGCCCTGCCTCTCCTTTACATATTAAAATGTATGGGAGTGGAGAGCAGTTAACTTTTATTTTTATTCCATGGGTTGCCAGACCCAAGTCTTCTATATCCAGGCCTTCTAGAAAACAATGAGCAACACTTTCCAGGGCCTGAATGGGACTTTTGGGGCTGCCATCCTTCTAAAGAGGTGAGTGTTTCCTCCAAGCAAAAGGAGATATGTGGTGACCAGAATGTGTAGGGGTCTACAGCAAAGACAGGGTAGATACTCACCTCACCATTTCCTCTTCTTGGACATAAGGAAGACTATATTTCCTAACCCCATTTGCAATTAAGTTGACATATATGATTGGTTCCTGGCAAACAGAATGCGGGCATAAATGATTCATGACATTCCAAAGATGGTCCTGACAATACTGGTTGATCCCCGCGTTCTCGCTATGTTCTCCTTCCCTGTCATGTCTGCTACTGCTGTTTGGATAAAGTCAGGGTGAACTGAAAGCCACAGGATACACATAGCTTGGGTTTCTGAATTACAATCTGGTGGAGAACTGTTTGACCTACATCAGATTGATATTAGCAAAAAGTACATTTTTATTGTATTATATCACTAAAATTTTAGAATTTATTACTTCTATATAGCTTAACCTATCCAATGTATACATTTTATATATAAAAAAGCATACATAGTCAGGCATGATTATTATTATTATATGTGTTACTTCATTATTATCCTACTAGATTGAATTTTGTTTGCTAAATCAATTAATAGGATTGTTATAATTGTTTCACAAACATTTGACTAGGAGATGAAAGTAATCCTAACTGAGCGTTACTCTAGTCACTGTGGTAGATACTTTAAAATCACTTTGAATTATGTTATTCCAATTTTAAAGATGAGACAGCTTAAGACATAGAGAAGCTATGTAACTTGCTACTTGAGTGCATATTACTATTTTACAACCAATCCTTTTCTTAAAGTGCTAGCTTTCCTGAGCTTTTCCTTTAGAGATATGTCCATCCCCCATTCTCAGTACAGTTGTCTGCATAGAGTTTTACACCTAGACCTACACCTAGACTTTTCCCCAGGATACCAGGTATAGTTCAAAGGTAGCGTGTGGTTTAAGCCAGTCTGATCACAGTGAATCTTAGAATTTTTATTTAGATTGGGGAAAATAAATTCCCTCTTTATTCTGAATGTTAACCAGAAATGGGAAATTCCCTGGAATTACTAGTGACCAACCATCTTTCAATGACATGAGGAGAAACCATCTGCTTATGAGAAGAAGACAAACAAGAGATGGAATGGATTACATATATCATCATTTGAATTTTTATGCCCTTTGGAACATTAAACTGTATTTAAACCATTATGCTCTTCTCTTGGTAAAGACAATGGATCCCCTCTCCATTCATTTAAAGTGCATTTGAGTTGGTTTAGCCTCACCTTCAATATCATGCATCCTAAAATATACGTAAGTCCAGCTAGGTAACAGCTGAACCAATTTTCAAAATCCAGAGCACAATTTTTTTTCTCATTTAATGATGCTGTATTACCTTTCATTTGATAAAATATAGTTTTGTATTACATTAAGCTATTTGTCTACATTGAGACATTTATAAGGCAACAACTGTACATTGGGAATTACGCTAGGAGGGAAATATAAAAGATATAGTATCAGAAGATTACAGTGTTACTGAGATGTAAATAATATCCATTAAGCTGTGTGACAACTGCACAAAGCAGGATAACCAAGTGCTAAATATTAATCTATTATTGATCAAATTCCGATAACATTAAAAACCCTAGTAATAATTGGCTCAAAATATTTTTATGGAGAATTATTTTAAATAAACCATTTTAATTGTCCTAGAGAGAATATAAGATGATGGAAAACATTTACATGTATTTTATGAACTTAGCCTAATATAAAAAATATAACTTGACAGATAAGACGTGACGTCCAAGGTAGGTTAGAAAACACAATGCACCTTCTAACTGGTCTTTCTCCGGATCCTTTGGAACTGTGAACCATCATGTAGGAAATCCAGGTACTTTGAGTAACCACAAAAAGAAAACAGTGGAGAGAGCCTGAAACTCCATGAGGAGTGGGAGATGACCGGCTTGCCTCTATCTGCTACAACCCCTCACTCTTCCAGTTCTAGCCACTGTGTAATGAGGAACACATGAGGGGAACCTAGTTAGAACCAACCAGACAGCTGTTTCAGAACTACTCACCCACAGAAACCATGAGATATAATAAATGATTGTTGATATTTTAAGACACTGAGATTTGGGTCAATTGGTTTTGCAACAAAAATAAATGCATAAATAATAATAAGCAAAAAATATAAAATTGAAAGTTTTAAAATTAATTTAATAAAGTTTTCCTAAGCACACATGTACACACATAAATACACACAGCCATATACACTTGCAAACACATATAAGACAACAGACCATTCTTAGTTTGAATACGGATACTAAATTCACAGAGAACTTACTTTTAAAACTCAGTAGAATATCAAAAAGAAAAATTGAATTATTCATTTTTAATACATTTCAAGGGTATATGTGAATCATTACAAACATGTAAGGATAATGCAACATTATGAGATTATTAATGTCATACCCATGTGAGGAAACATGTCACTATCTTGATAGATGCTAATAAGGCATTTGATAAAATAACACACATTATAGATTAAAGCAATTCTAGATAAACAAGAATAAAAGAGTTATTTTACCAAGTGATAAAGAGCTATGTGAAACCTAAAGTCTTTTTATCAAGCAGCTCTGCTCCATGCAATAATTTCAGAATCCATACACTTTCAAGTTTGTATCTTCAGTATTCTATAGGTGCCAGGCATGGTGGCTTATGCCTGTAATCCCAGCTACTTGGGAGGCTGATGTGGGAGTAGGGCTTGAGCCTAGGAGTTTGAGGCTGTGATGTGCTATGATAGCACCACTGCATTTCAGCCTGGATGAGAAAGCAATCCTATTTCTAATATATATATTCACTAAAACAGAGCCTTTTCATAACATTGTACCTACAATCTATTCCACCACTACTACCACCGATAACAACAGCATCAATAACAACAAATGAGCAAGTTCCTACAAAGCTATTCTTGTGTTCATTTGCTACAGTAGCTCTAAAACTTGAGTGTACACTAAAATCACCTAGAGGACGTGTCACAAAAAAAACAAGATTGATGGGCTTCACCCCAGAGTTTTTTTATTTAGTAGGTCTCCGATAGGTCACAAGGAATTTCATTTCTAACAAGTTCCAAGGGAATGCTGTTGTGTTGCTCTGGGAACACACACTTTGAGAGAAACATTGAAACTGTTTTAATATTTCACCTCAGTGAAATTTAAAATATAAGCCCTATTCTGGTTCAAATAGTTGTTCTGAATAGTCTTGAGTATTCAAAATGGTATGGTATGATTGTTACATATGATAAGAGAGAGGAATAACTACATTATAATGGATACTATATAACCAGAATAGACATGGGTACTGTATAATTAATTTCTGACACTAAAATTGGTGCTTGGTTTGACATTTTGCTGGGACAGACAGCTCAGTTAAACTCAGCAACATTCAGGGCAGCTGCTCTTTATCCCACCTCCTATTTGTACTTCTCACTGTATCTGTTCTTCTCCCTCTTCCAGATAGTTGTGTACTGCTTCCTTCTGCTTCCTTTGTCTGCAATATACTTCTTCAATCCACCACATGGCTAACTCCTACTTTTATTTTTATTCCATGGGTTGCCAGACACAAGGTTCCTATATCCATCTTTTTTTTTTTTTTTTTGAGACAGAGTCTTGGCTCACATGATCTTGGCTCACTGCAACCTCTACCTTCTGGGTTCAAGTGATTCTCCTGCCTCAGCCTCCCGAGTAGCTGGGACTACAGACGCGTGCCACCATGCTCAGCTAATTTTTGTATTTTTAGTAGAGATGGGGTTTCACCATGTTGGCCAGGATGGTCTAGATCTTTTGACCTTGTGATCCTCCCACCTCGGCCTCCCAAAGTGCTGGGATTACAGGCGTGAGCCCGGCCTATGATTCATTTTTAAAGTCACCTTTTCCAGGAGGTCTGTCTTGAAACACTTTTTTACTGCTTAAAATATGTTGAGAGCTTTCCTTTTTTCCAATCAGAACATGTTGTGCTCATCTCTATCATACTTACAAGAGCATATTGTTTATGTATCTTCCTGTTTATGTATCTTGGCTGAAACTGTGAGCTCCTGAAGAGTGGGAATCTGACCTTGCTGGTGTTTCTATTTCCAGCCACCAGAATAAGCCCTTGAAGATATTTTCAATTAACAAATTGAAAATTAACAATATTTTCAATTAACATATATATGTATATAATTTGTTGTTAGCATTGTCAAAAGAAGCCTGGAGATTGTGTTTTATTTCATTTATAACTTTAGTCAAGTAGCTTTGGAATAGAAATCTATTTATTTGCTCATTCATATTTAACGGACTCCTGTCTATATGCCAAACACAACGGATATATTAGTGAAGAAGCCCATGAGATTTCTATGCTCACAGGTTCCAACATTTGGTGAAGATGCAGATTAATAAAAAGATGATTACAGATTAGCATGATAAAGGCTTTGACGGGGTAATAAAGACTGACAGAGGCCAGGCGCGGTGGCTCACTCCTGTAATCCCAGCACTTTGGGAGGCCGAGGCGGGCAGATCACGAGGTCAGGAGATCAAGACCATCCTGGCTAATACAGTGAAACACCATCTCTACTAAAAATACAAAAAATTAGCTGGGCGCGGTGGCGCGCACCTGTAGTCCCAGCTACTCGGGAGGCTGAGGCAGGAGAATGGCGTGAACCCGGGAGGCGGAGCTTGCAGGGAGCCGAGATAGCGCCACTGCACTCCAGCCTGGGCGAAAGAGCGAGACTCCTCCGTCTCAAAAAGAAAAAAAAAACAAAACAGACTGACAGATTTATATATGAGGATCAATTAACACAGACTTGGAGGGTTAGGAAAGGATTCATGAACAAAGTAATTTCTAAAGTAGACGTTATTTTAAAAATCTGTTTTCCTTGGGTGTTTTCTGTATTAGTCTTGTATGTTCACATCTGGCATAGCAATTATCTATGGATTCATTGTTTGGGCTTCCAGAAAGTTGTATTTGAATATAAAATGAGAATCAGAAAGAAAAAATTTATAAGCTAATTATGAGATATCACAGTTTTTACTGTTTTTATATAAATAATTTTTGTTCCCTGTATTTGGAATTTTGAAATATTTTCTCCCTCTTTTCCTACTGTACATTTGTATTCACTCATTTTGCATGCAAATATGCAGATTCTAATCATTGATTGCTTTCATTATAGTGTAGTTATTCCTCTCTCCTATAATGTTTAACTGTCATACTGTGCTGTTTTGAATTTTGAAGGATAAGACTACTCAGAGCAACTATATTTGCATCATAATATAATTATAATGGGTCTGCATTCCTAATAAGTGGATTCATCACCTTTTTGGTATCACCTTTACCTTTGGATTGTCACTTTAAAGCTTAGGCATCTCAGTGAGGTTTCCTGTGCCCAGGTGCTGACATTTAAGAAATTTATCAGATGCCTCAAATGAGACAGTGGTCAGAGGCATAGAAAAGGGTGATGATCACCGACTCAAGCAATAAAATGGAAAGGTTCAATTCACATTGTGTGCACAATTCTGGAATACCAAAATTGGTATTTAAAGTTTCTCCCATCACCACCAATTTTCTTCTCAACGGACTATTTTTCCTCAGTTAATATTATATCCTATATATCTAACAGGAAACTATTGACAACATATTAAAGAGGAGATGAAGTTAAAGAGAAGATTTTATTTCCTCATGCAAGAGGAAGTACACATATATTACTAATGAGCAATTTATAAAGCGTATAAAAGTTATGTCTTTCTCCTGATGTCACCAGATCATTTTTATTTTATTTGTCTGAGTCCAATTTAAGTGGCAATAAGTAATGCTTTATATTGTCTTCCATCCGTGGCTACAAATCAGAGTTACATGGCATGGTAGGCAGAAGAATGGTCCTCAAAGATGTCTACATTCTACTCTCCAAAATCCGTGAAAATGTTATTTTCTGTTAAAGAGAAATTAAGTTTGCAGATGAAATTAAGGTTAATCATCAGGTGATTAAACAGGGAGATTACTCTGGACTATCTGCGTGGGCACAATATAATCATAAGAGCCCTTAAAAGTGGAAGAGTAATTATGAAAAGAGAACCAGAGGGACAGCAGCTTGTGGTAAACTTGACCTAATTTTGCTGGCTTTGAAGTTTGGGTAAGTGGGCCTTGAACCAAGGAAGGCAAGCATCCTCTAAAAACTAGAAATGACGGGAAGATGAACTTACTTCTAGATGCACCCTTCTGACACCTTTATCTTAGCTCATTGAGATCCCCATTAGACTTATGATCTACAGAACTGTACAGTAATAAATTTGTGTTCTTAAAAACCACAAAACTTGTGGTAAATTTCTCACAACGGCAGTAGAAATTCAGTAAACTTGGGGTTCTTTTAATCGCTCTAATA
The DNA here is from genome assembly GCF_000001405.40 of Homo sapiens. Classification (NCBI taxonomy): domain Eukaryota; kingdom Metazoa; phylum Chordata; class Mammalia; order Primates; family Hominidae; genus Homo; species Homo sapiens. Next base: position 34,718 of record NW_003315919.1, on the reverse strand, counting down.
CCCAGGTCACACTCCAGAACAATTATAGAAATTCTGGGGTCAGGAGAAGATACAGGTATCAATAATTTTTTCAGGTTCCCTGGGAAATTCCAATGGGCAGCCATGTTTAAGAACTGTTAACTATAAGCATATTTACAGGTCTTTGTAAGGAATTAAACTGCCTCAAAACCCTTCATTGGTCGTAAGGCTGGGGCCATACGTCCTGCCACTCCACATGTGGTTTCAGAGTATCAATATCGTCTCAGATAATGCATTTTCTAAGGTGTATTAACTTTAAAAATGCATTATCTGGGCCCCAACTTGACCCAACAAATAAGAATCTGAATGATTTGTATGCACATTAAATTTTAAGACACAAATAGTGAGCACTGATGGTTGCCCTCCTAATCCAAGATGTCTCTAAGACTTGTAATGAATTTTAAATTATTACAAAGATAAAATTTTTTAAGCATGTCCTCTAGGCTATGGGTTCCCGAATGAAAGAAACTCCTTCCCACCTACCTTCCTTCCCTCTTTCTTTCTTTCCTTTCTTTCCTTTTTTCTCTCTTTTTCTTTCTCTCTTTCTCTTTCTTTCTCTTTCTTTCTATTCTTCCACTCCCTCGCTTCCTTCCTTCCCTCCCTCTCTTCCTTTTTTTCCTTCCTTTCTTTTGTTTTTCTTTCTTTCTGTCTTCCTTTCTTTCTTTCTCTTTCTTTCTAGTCTTTCCCCTTCCTTCCTTCTTTCCTTCCTCCCTTCCTCTCTTTCTCTCTTCCTCCCACACTTTCTTTCTTTTTTCTCTTTCGATTTATGTGTTATTCTGTGCTTTCACTTTTTATTTCCTTTTTCTTCCCTTCTTTTCCTCCTCCTCCTCTTTTTTCCTCCTCCTCCTTCTTTTCCTGTCTCTTTCTCTCTTTTTCTTCCCTCCACTCCCTATCTTGCTCTCTCTCTTTCTTCCTTTACTTATCTCCAGGGCAAGAGACACATTCCTGACTTGCTGACTCACTACCTAAGTTAATAATATATGTAACTGCAACAAAGACAAAAATAACCAAATGCATGCTACTACCAAATAGAAATATAACTTGAAATGTCAGAAAAATGTACATTTTAATTTATACTCCGTGCTCTATTTTTTAAATTTTTGTGAGTACATAGTAGGTATATATATTTTTATAGGGTTCCTGAGATATTTTGATACAGGCATGCAATGTGTAGTGATCATATAAGGGTAAATGGGATATTCATCACCTCAAGCATTTATTCTTTTTTTGTGTTGCAAAGAAAAGTACAATTCAATGGTTCTCCTTTAGTTAGTTCTAAATGTACAGTAAATTATTGTTGTCTGTAGTCACCCTATTGTGCTAACAGGTACTAGATCTTATTCATTCTATTGAATTATATTTTGTATCCATTAACCATCCACATTCCCCACTGCCCCACTACCCTTCCCAGCCTCTGATAACTATCATTCTACTCTCTACTTACATGAGATCAGTTGTAATTTTAGCTCCCACAAATAAGTGACAACATATAAAGTTTATCTTTCTGTGCCTGTCTTATTTCACTTAACACAATGTTCTCCAGTTTCATTCATGATCCTGCAAATGATGAAATCTTATTCTTTTGTATGGCTGAATAGTGTTACATTACGCATTTGTGCCACATTTTTCTCTATCCATTCATTTGTTGATGAACACTTAGGTTGCTTTAAAATATTGGCTATTGTGAATAATGCTGCCATAAACATGAAAATGAAGCTATCTCTTCAATATACTGATTTTCTGTCATTTAAGTATATACCTAGCAATAGGATTGCTAGATCATATGCTAGTTCTAATTTTAGCTTTTTGAGGAATCTCCAGAATGTCCTTCATAGTGGTTTTACTAATTTACATTCCCACCAACGGTGTACACGGGTTCCTTTTCTCCACCTCCTGGCCAGCATTTTTATTGTGTGTCTTTTGGATATAAGCCATTTTAACTGGAGTAAGATGATATCTCATTGTAGTTTTCATTTGCATTTCTCTGATGATCAAGGATGTTGAGCATGTTTTCATATACCCATTTGCCATTTATATGTGTTCTTCTGAGAAATGTCTATGCAGATCTTTGGCCCATTTTAAAAATTATATTATTCGATTTCTTTTGCTATTGACTTGTTTTACCTCTTTATACAATCTGGTTATTAATCCCTTGTCAGATGAGTAGTTTGTGAACATTTTTCCCATCCAATGGATTGTCTCTTCACTTTGTTGATTGTATCTTTTGCTGTGCAGAAGCTTTTTAATCTGATGTGATGTTAGTTGTCCATTTTTTCTCTGGTTGCCCGTGCTTGTTAGGTACTACTCAAGAAACCTTTGCCCAGACCAATGGCCTAGAGAGTTTTCTGAATGTCTTCTTTTGTTAGTTTCATAGCTTGAGATCTTAGATTTAAGTCTCTAATTGATTTTGGTTTTATTTTTACATATGGTGAGAGATAGGAGTCAAGTTTCATTCTTCTGTATATGGATATCCAGTTTTCTCAGCACCATTTATTAAAGAATATATCCTTTCCCCAATGCATCCCCTTGGCACCTTCATTGAAAATGAATTCATGGTAGTATTTTGTTCCATTGGTCTGTGTATCTGTTTTTATAATAATGTCATACCATTTTGCTTATTATAGTTCTGTAGTATAATCTGAAATCAAATAATGTAATTTTTTAAATTTTGTTCTTTTTGATCTGAATAGATTTTGCTATGCTGGATCTTTTGTTATTCCATATAAATTTTATGGGTTTTTTTATTTCTATGAAGATTATTACTGGTTTTTGACAGGGATTGCATTGAATCTGTAGACTGCTTTGGGTAGTATGAACATCTTAAAAATATTGATTCTTCCAATCAATGAACACAGAATATCTTTCCATTTTTGCCTGTCCTCTTCAATTTCATCCATCAGTGTATTATAGTTTATATTCTTGAGATTTTTACTTCTTTGCTTAGGTTTATTCCTAGGTAGTTTGTTTTATTTGTAGCTATTGTAAATGGAATTACTTTCTTGATTTCTTGTTCACCACTGGCATATAGAAATGCTACTGACTTTTGTATGTAGATTTTCTATCCTGACACTCACTGAGTTTGTTTATCATTAACAATAGTTTTTTTGTGGATTATTTAGGTTTTTCTAAATATAAGATCATATTATCTGCAAACAAGGATAACTTGACTTCTTCCTTCCCAGTTTGTATATGCTTTATTTCATCCTCTTGTCTAATTGTCTAGCTAGAACTTCCAGTCCTATGTTGAATAAGAGTGGTGAAAGTAGACATTTTGTCTTGTTCCATATCTTAGAGGAAAAGGGTTCAGTTTCTCCCCATTCAGTATGATACCAGATGTGTGTCTCTCATATATGGCTTTTATTGTATTGAGGTATGTTCCTTCTATTCCTAGTTTTTGAAGGTTTTTGTCATGAAGGGATACTGAATTTCATCAAATGCTTTCTAAGCATCAATTGAAATGATCAAATGGCTTTTGTCCTTTATGTTCTTGATATGGTGTATTACATTCATTGATTTGTGTATGTTGAACCATCATTGCATCACTGGGATAAACCCTATATGGTCATAATGAATGATCTTTTTAATGTGTTGTTAAATTCAGTTTGCTAGTATTTCATTGAGGATTTTTGCATCAATGTTAAACAGGCATATTAGGCTGTAATTTCATTTCTTTTTTTTTTCTTTTTGCTGCATCTTCGACTTTGGTACCAGGGTAATACTGGCCTTGTAGAATGTGTTCAAAGTATTATTTCCTCCTTTATTTTGTGGAGTAGTTTGACTAGAATTGGTGTTAGTTCTTTAAATGTTTGCTAAAATTCAGGAGTAAAGGTATTAGGTCCTAGGCTTTCCTTTGCTAAGAGGCTTTTTATTACAACTTCAATCTCATTACTTGTTATTGGTCCATTCACGTTTTGAATTTCTTCATGGTTCAATCTTGGTAGGTTGTATGTGTCTAGTAATTTATCCATTTCTTTTAGGTATTCCAATTTATTGGCATATAGTTGTTCATAGTAGCCTCTAATGATCCTTGAATTTCTGCAGTATCTGCAGTTTTAATATCTGCATTTTATCTCTGATATTATTTGGGTCTTCTCTTTTTTTTTCTTAGTTTGATGTGTTAGTTCATTTTCACACTGCTATAAAGAACTACCTGAGACTAGTTAATTTATGAAGAAAAGAGGTTTAATTGATTCACAGTTCTTCAGGCTGTACAGGAAGCATGGCTGGGAGGCCTCAGGAAACATACAATTATTGCAGAAGGGTAAAGGGGAAGCAAGTGTATTTTCACATGGAGGCAAGAGAGAGAGCAAAGGAGGACATGCCACACACTGTTAAAATATCACATCTCATGAGAACTCACTCACCATCACAACAACAGCAAGGGGAAAATCTGCCCTCATGTTCCAATCACCTCCCATCAGGTTCCTTCTCCAACATTGGGAATTACAATTCAACATGAGATTTGGGTGGGGACACAGAGCCAAATCATATCATCTGGGTAAAGTTTCATTAATTTTGCTTATCTTTCAAAGAAACAATTTTTCATTGATCTTTTGTATTTTTATTCCTTTCCATTTCATTTATTTCTGCTCCTGTCATTATTATTTTGTTTCTTCTATTTATTTTGAATTTGATTTGCTCTTGCTTTTTTAGATCTTTAAGACACATTATTAGATTATTTATTTGAAGTGTTTCTACTTTTTTGATGTGGGTGCTTATTGACACAAACTTCCCTCTTAGTACTGCTTTCATTGTATCTCATAGGTTTAAGTACATTGTGATTCCATTATCAGTTGTTTCAATAAATTCATAACTTTTTTTCTTAATTTCTGCATTGACCCACTGGTCATTCAAGAGCATATTGTTTAATTTCCATGTTTTGTATAGTTTCCTAAGTCAATATCTTGTTATGGTTTCTACTTTTATTTCATTATTTTCTAAGAAGATATTTGATATTATTTCATTTTTTTTGAATTTTCTAAGACTTTTTTTGTGGCCTAACATATGGTCTATCCTTGAGAATGATCTTTGTGATGAAGAAAAGAATCTGTATTCCAAAGCTGTTGGATGAAATGTTCTGTTAATATCTAATAGTTCCATCAGATGTTTCTATGTTGATTTTCTGTCTGGATGATCTATTCAATGCTGAGAGTTGAGTGTTGACGTTTCCAGCTATTATTGTATTGAGATCTATTTCTCTCCGTAGCTCTAATGATATTTGCTTTATATATCTGGGTGATCCAGTGTTGGGTGCATATATATTTACAATTGTTATGTCCTGTTACTTAATTCACTCATTTATCATTATGTAATGACCTTCTTTGTCTCTATTTAGAGTTTTGTCTTGAAATATATGTTGTCTGATGTATCTGCTCCTTCTCTTTTTTGGTTTCCATTTCAGTAGAATATCTTTTTCCATCCCTTTATTTTCAGTCTACATGTGTCTTTATAGATAAAGTGTATCTTGTAGGCAAAAGATCATTGGATTTTCTTTTTTTCATTAAGCCACTCTATGTCTTGATTGGAGAGTTTAATCCATTTACATGTTATTATTGATAAGTAAGGACTTAATTCTGTCATTTTGTTATTCATTTTCTAGTTGTTTTGTGGTGTTCTCTCTCTTCTTTTCTTTCTTCCTGTCTTCCTTTTAGGAAAGAGAATTATCTCAGGTGGTATATTTTAATTTCTTTAATTTCTTTCTTTTTATTTTTTATGTATTTGTTGTATGTGCTTTCATTTGGAATTGCCGTGAGGCTTGCAAATAATAGCTTAAAGCCCATTATTTTAAACTGACAAGTTTACAGTGATTGCATAAACAATCAAACAACATAACAAACAAGCCAAAAGAAATGCAATGAAAGCTTTACACTTTAACTTCATCTTTCACTTTTTAACTTTTTGTTGTTTCTATTTTTATTATACTACTTCTTGAAAAGTTTTGTTTTTATTATTTTTGCTAGTTTCATGTTTTAGCCTTCCTACTCAAGATGTGCATAGTTTACACACTACAAATACAGTACAGTAATATCCTGTTTGTGTATTTAGTATTACCAGTTGAGTTTTATACCTTCAGATTATTTCTTATTACTGATTATTTTCATTTTCTTAAAGATTGAAGAGGTTTCTTTAGCATTTCTTTTTGGACAAGTCTGGTGTTGATGAATGCCTTCAATTTTTATTTGTCTGGGAAAGTCTTTATTTTTCCTTTATGTTTGAGGATAGTTTCACTGAATGTAATTTCCTAGTATAAAGGTTTTTTTTTTTTTTTTTTAATTTCAGCAGTTTAAATACGTCATGCTACTCTATCCTGACCTGTAAAGTTTCCACTGAAAAGTCTGCTGCTAGACATATTGGAACTCCTTTGTATGTTATTTGTTTTCTTTTTCTTGCTGCTTTTAGAATCTTTTCTTTATCCTTGACCTATTGGAGTTCTATTATTAAATATCTAGAGGTGCTCTTATTTGGATTAAATCTGCTTGGTGTTCTATAACCTTCTTTTAATTGTGTATTGATATTTCTTTCTCTAGATTTAGAAAGTTATGTTATTATCCTTTTGAATAAACTTTCTACCCTGATCTCTCTCTATCTCTCCTTTGACCAATAACTCTCAGATTTGCTCTTTTCGATTTTATTTTCTAGACCTTGTAGGCATCCTTCTGTCTTTTTTATATTTTTCTTCTGTTTTCGTCTACTGTGCATTTTCAAATAGCTTGTCTTCAAGCTCACTAATTCTTTTTTCTGCTTAATCAGTTCTGCTGTTAAGAGACTCTGATGCATTCTTGGGTATGTCAATTTAATTTTTCAGCTCCAGAAGTTTTGTTTCATTTCTCAAAATTATTTCAATCTCTTCATTAAATTTTTCTGATAGAATTCTGGATTCCTTGTATGTATAATCTTGAATTTCATTGAGCTTCTTCAAAACAGCTATTTTAAAGTCTCTGTCTGAAAGGTCCTATCTCTGTCACTGGTGCTTGGTGTAGTTTGTTTGGTGAGGTCACGTTTTACTGAATGGTATTGATGCTTGTGGATGTTCATCAATGTTGTGGCATTGAAGAGTTAGGTATTTATTGTAGTCTTTGTAGTCTGGGCTAATTTGTATTTGTACTTCTTGGGAATGCTTTCCAAGTATTTGCAAGGACTTAGGTGTTGTGATCTAAGTCTTTGGTAACTGCATCTATATGTGCATTAGAAGGGACCCCAAGCCCAGTAATGTAGCTCTGGCAGACTCATAGACATAATGCCTTGGTGTTCTAAGGAAGATCCAGGAAAATTCCATGTTACAAGGCAGAGACTCTTGTTCTTTTTCCCTACTTTCTCCCAAACAAATGGAGTCTTTCTCTATATGTACTGAGCTACCCGGAGCTGGGTGAGAGGTGAAACAAGCATCTCTGTGGCCACCGTCACTGGTGCTGTGATAGGTCAGACCTGAAACTAGCACAGCACCTGTCTTGCCCAAAGTCCACAGTGTACACTCCCTGGCTATCACCTATGTTCACTCAAGACCCAAGGCTCTATTATCAGCAGGAGATAAATACAGCCAGATTTGTGTCCTTCCATTCAAGATGATGAATTCTCTTTGGCCCTGTGCAGGTTCAGAGGTGTTGTCCAGGAGTCAGGACCTGGAGTCAGGAGCCTTAGGAATGTACCTGGTGCTCTGTTCTACTGCAGCTGAGCTGAAACTGAAGCACAAGGCAATGTCTTTCCCACTCTTCCCTTCCCTTTCCTAAAGTAGAGGTGTCTCTCTCCATGGCAACCACCACCCTAGTCCATAGTGAATACTGCCTGGCTACCTGCATTGTTCACTCAAGGCCCAGGAACTCTACCATCAGCTTGTGGTGAATGTTGTCAGGCCTGATTCTCTTCATTCAAGACAGTGGGACCCCTCTGGCTAAGGGCAGGTCCAGAAATGTCATACAAAAGCCAAGCTCTGCAATTGGGGACCATAGGAGCCCCATTGGTACTTTACTACACTGTGGCCAAGCTAGTGCCTAAGCTACAAAGCAAAGTCTCTTTACTCCTCTCTCTCTGATTCTCAAGCAGGAGACTCTCCCCATAGCCACTATAGCTGGTAGTGTGATGGGTCACACCTGAAGCCAGCACAGCTCTGAGTTTCACCCAAAGCTCATGGTCATTACTACCTGGCTACTGCTGATGATTATTTAGGGGCCAAAGGCTCTTTAGTCAGAAGGTGATAAATCCTACCAGAATATTGTCCTTCCCTTCAAGGCAGCAGGCTTCCTTCTGGCCCAGATGTGTCTAGAAATGCCATCCATGAGCTATGGCCTGTAATGGAGGCTACAGGACTCTGCCAGTACTCTATTCTACTGTGGCTGAGCTGGTATCAAAGTTTCAAGACAAATCCCTCTTTATTTTCCCTTCTTTTCTCCACAGTGGAAGGAAGGAGTGCCTTCCACAGCTGCAAGCTGTGCTGCCTGAGGCTGGTGTAGGATTGATGCAAGCCCTCCTTTGGCTGCATCACCTGGTGTCTCACTAGGTTTCATGTACCAGCTTTGAGCTCAGCACAGCACCTGGGCTTGCCCAGGAATTGCAGTCCTTGTGGTGTAGACTGCTTTTCAAGTTTATTTAAAAACTCACAGCATTTAGCACACAGTCATGGGGCTTATTGGAAATCAGACTCCACCTACTGGGATGGACAATTTGCCTCTGGCTAGGCTGGTCTAAATGCTCCTTCCATGGGTGTCACTTGAGTTCTGCCTTGTTTGCTTTCTGCTGTGACACAGCAGAACTGAGTTCCAATGCAAAGTGCCACAATCACTGCATTCTCCCTCTCCCAAGCACAAGCACACAGATTCTCTCTATACACCATGTGACGGCTGCCAAGGGATGGATGAGGGGTGATTTAAGCAATTCAAGACTGTGTTTCTCACCCTGCTTAGTGCCTCTTTCCTAAACATGATGTTAAAACCAAGTACTGTGATGTTAAAACCAAGTACTGTGATCACTCCCTTCTAATCATTCACTTTTTTGTGTGTGGATTGTTGTTCGATTTGGTGTTCTTCTTGAGGGAGGATAATTACTGGAGGCTTCTATTCAGCTGTCTTGATCTGCCTCTTCTTCCATAGCTCTATTTTTTTATTGACAAATGTTTTTTACCTATTGATTGGAATATGTGATATTTTATTACATGCATAGACTGTATAAGGATCAAGTCAGAGTACTTGGGGTATCTATCACCTCCAGTATTTATCACTTCTATGTGTTGGGAACATTTCAAGTTCTCTCTTCTATTTTGAAATATGCAATACATTGTTGTTAAGTATAGTTAGTCTATTCTGCTATCAAGCATTAGAACTTATTTCTTCTATCTAACTGTATGCTTGTACCCATTAACCAAACGTTCCTTATCCCTAACCATCCATCCACACAACTTTGCCAGCCCATTCTGTGGCGTGAGTTGTCATGTCTCCTTATTCACTTCAGACTGAGTTTGAGCTCTCTGTTTTCTTTTGGTTTATCTAGCCAGCTATTTATTATTGATTTTGTTTATCTTTTCAATAAACCAAGTTTTCATTTTGTTGAGCCTTTTTTTTTTTGTTTTTATTTTGTTTAGTTCTGCTTCAGTACTTATTATTTATTTTCTTCTACTAAGTTGGAGTTCAGTTTATTCTAGTTCCTTGAGGTGCATCATTAATTTTTTTTTATTTTAAATCTTTCTACTACTTTGATGTAGGCATTTATTGCTATAAAGTTTCTTCATAGCACTGCTTTTTCTATATTCCAGAGGTTTTGTTATGTTGTATATCTGTTTCCATTTGTTTCAAGACTTTTTAATTTTAATTTCTTCCTTAATTACTTCCTTGACCCAATGGTCATCCAGGTGTTAATTTAGCATGACATTTAATTTCCATGTAATTGTACTCTTTCCCATGTACCTCTTGGTATTAATTCCTTTTTAATTTTACAGTTGTCTGAGAAGATACTTCATATAATTTTGATTTTTAAAAATTTCTTTAAATTTGTTTTATGTCCTAATATATGTTCTATCATGGAGAATGTTTCATGAGCTGATAAAGATGTGCATTCTGCAGCAGTGGGATGAAATGTTCTGTAAATGTCTGTTAGGTCCATTTAGTTTAATTGCAGTTTAAATCCAATGTGTCTCTGTTAATTGTCTGTCCAGATGATCTGTCTGATGCTGAGAGTAGGGTGTTCAAGTCCCCAAATCTTATTGTATTGGAGTCTATCTCTCCTTTTAGCTCTAATAATATTTGATTTACATATTTGTGTGCTCTGTGTTGGCTGCATATATGTTTAGAACTGTTATATTCTCTTGCTGAATTTATCCCCTTAGCATTACATATGACCCTCTTTGTCTGTTTTTACTTCTTCTGACTTAAATTCTGTTTTATCTGATATAAGTATAGCCACTCCTACTCAATTATGGTTTCCATTTGCACAAGTGTAATTTTCCAACTTTCACTTTCAGTCTAAAATTGTTTTTACAAGTGAGATTAGTTTCTTTTAGAGAGCATAGACAGCATATAGCTGGGCCTGGTTTTTGTTTGTTTGTTTGTTTGTTTTTAATCCATTCAGTCAGTCTACATCTTTTAAGTGGAAAGTTTAATCCATTTACATTTAATGTTATTATTGATATGTGAGGGTTGTTCCTGATTGATTTATCATTGTTTTGTATATCCTTTGTTCTTTTATTTCCCTTTTATTGTTTGCCATTTTGGTTTTTTTTTTTTCTGCAGTGGTAACATTTGAATTATTTCTCTTCTTTAATTTTGTGTTTGTTTTATCAGTGGGTTTTGAAATTTCATGTTTTTTCATGATGATAAATAGCATCCGTTTGCTTCCAGTTATAGTACTCTCTTAAGCAATTTATGTATGTATGTATGTATGTATTTATTTATTTATTGAGACACAGTGTCGCTGTGTCACCCTGGCTGGAGTGCAGTGGTGCGATCTCGGCTCACTGAAAGCTCTGCCTCCTGGGTTCATGTCATTCTCCTGCCTCAGTCTCCCAAGTAGCTGGGACTACAGGTGCCCACCAACACGCCCAGCTAATTTTTTGTATTTTTAGTAGAGACAGGGTTTCACTGTGTTAGCCAGGATGGTCTTCATCTCCTGACCTCATGATCCACTGGCCTCGGCCTCCCAAATTGCTGGGATTATAGGCATGAGCCACCGTGCCCAGCCCTTAAGCAAATTTTAAGGGCCAATCTAGTGTTGATGAATTCCCTGAGCTTTTGCTTGTCTGAGAAAGACTTTATCTGTCTTTTATTATCTTATCTTATAAAGGATAACTTTGCCAACTCTAGTATCCTTGATTAGCTGGTTTTATCTTTCAGCACAGTGAATATGTCATCCCATTCTCTCCTGGCCTGTAAGGTTTTCACTGAGAAATCTGCTATTATTCTAGATTTACGTCTAAGGGAATAGATATTTTTCTCTTACTGTTTTTATCTTCTTTCTTTGTCTTGACTTTTGATACTTTGATTTTAATATGCCATGAAGAAGACGTGTTTGATTGTATCAGTTTGAGGATTTCTGAATGTCTTGTATCTCAATGTCTAAATCTCTTGGTAGACTTGGAAAGTTTTCTGCTATTATTTTGTTAAATATGTTTTCTAATTATTTTGTTTATTTCTTTACCTTCAGGGACAATGAAAATTTAAATATGCGGTTGCTTTATCATGTTTCACATGTCACATAGATTTTGCTCACTCTTTTTGGTTCTTTTTTTCTGAGTTTTGTCTCACTGGGTAATTTCAAAAGACCTGCCTTCAAGTTTTGAAATTATTTCTTTGATTTTCGCTAATCTACTTTTGAAGTTTTTAAATGCATTTTGTACTTTATTCAAGGAATTCTTTAGTTGCGGAATTTCTGTTTAGTTCTTTCTTATATCTATCTCTTTGGAAAACTCTTCATTCAGATCCTGAATTGTTTTTCTAATTTCTTTGTAATCTTAAAAATTTCATTGTATCTCATTTAGATTATTTAATATCATGATATTGAATACTTTATCGGGAATTTCATAATATTCTCTCTTTTTTAATATTAAATTTTTTGAAGTTTTTTATTGAAGTTTTATACATATAAGTGTGTTTATGTGTGTTTATGTATATATGTATATATACATATATATTACCTTCATCATTTTTAAGTGTACAGTGATAATGAACACATTTATATTCCTTTTATCTTCATCTTGGGATTTCATAAATTTCTTTTTGATTGGAACCTGTTGCTGAAGAATTATTGCGTTCCTTTGGAAGTGTCATATTTTCCATGCTTTTTTATGTTTCTGTGTCCTTATGTTGATATCTGCACATCTGGTGTAATAGTGACTGCTTTCAAATTTTTCAATTTGCTTTCATAGGGGAGGAATTCTTTTTGAGTATGTATTTATGGTGTTAGTTCAGTAGAGTACATTGGCTTTGATTCTGGATGTGTGCAGTAGTGTGGACTCTGTGTGATGTCTTTGGCTGTAAAAAGCATCAGTGGTGTCTGTTATTTCCTCAGTGATTTAGGGTAAAGTTGTTAGTGGAGGCTGTGGTGAAGTTTTGCTGGGCTCAGGATGCCAGTTGGGCCAGTGCTCAGGGACCAGTGGTGGCAGCAGCAGGCAGAGCATGCCTGTCCTTGGTCCCTAGGGCTGAATACACTGGCACCAGTTTTAGATGGTTCAGAGGGATGAATTTTTGAGCCTCTAGGCATTGATAGGCTTTGCTGGTGGTGGGTTATCAGGCCTCTAGCAGCCTGCATGTTGTGGACAATGGCAATAGCAGTGGGGTGTCTAACCTTTGGGAACCAAGTGGTATTTGCCAGTGTTAGCAGTGGCTGCAATGAGCAAGGTGGGCCAGTTTCCAGGCCCACAGAAGCATGTGCAGTTTAGTGCCAACTGTGATGGTAGTAACAGGTTGGGTGGGCCTGATCTCAGTCCCTTAAGAGGAACACTCGGGTGTCAACAGTAGTGGACTGGGCAGGGAAGTCCCCAGGCCCTTGAACAGCATAAGAATGTAAAGCAGGGCTTGGTGGGCCCATCCTCCAGCACCCAAGTGGTGTGGATAGGCACTGGCTGTGGTAGGCAGCAGCAGATTGAGCCCAAGGCCCACAGCAGAATGCTCTGGGTGAGGGTGGCAGCAGCAGTGGCTGCACTGTAGACCTACTATTGGGGAGAACAGGTGTGCTTTCAGGGACAACAGTCATAGGCAGACAGCTGAGGAGTATGTGCTTCACTTGTGTTTCAACCCTGGATGTGACAGCTTGTAGTGATGGCTACTGCTAGTTGCAGAGTTTGCCCTCAGAGTGCATGAAAATGTGAAGTGACATCACTCCTGGGGCAACAGGGTATTTGCCAAAAGCTCATACTTCAGCCCTGGATGCAGCATCCAGCCATGGTGGTGGCTGAAGGTGGGGAATCTCTGAAGGCTCTAGAGATGTGGGGATGCAAGCACTGTTGGACCTCCAGGCAGGATGCAGTCTGGTGGAGGCTGGGCTCTAAATATGCTGTCTTTCAGTAGCTGCTTAGCTTAGAATGTATTGGACTCAGTGTGAGCTCCCTGTCTGGAACAATGTTTTCATACTGCCTCCATGCAACTCCTTATGCTAGTCTTAGGGACTGCAAGGGTCTAGGGGCTTTCCCATGCCCAGGATGCAAGAGTCCATAGTGGAAATGTGAAGCTCTATGGGTGACTCACTTATCCTTGACTGCAATGGAGAATCTCTTCAGGCTACCGGATGATCCCAGAGAAGCAGACTGCCATGCTTCCCTCTCCGTGCTTATTTTAGGTGTTTCCTGTAGCTTCTCTGTTGAATTCCAGTGTTCTTTCTTACATTATGTATTTATGTATTTGCATTGCAGTTATCTTCTCACTATTTTGGTTCCCCTTTGTGGAGGATAAGACTACTTGGTGCTTTTAATCCACCTTCTTTTCCTTCTTTTTTTATTTATTATTTTTTAATTATTTTAGTAGAGATGGGGTTTCACCATGCTAGCCAGGATGGTCTCGATCTCCTGACCTCGTGGTCCCTCTGCCTCAGCCTCCCAAAGTGCTGGGATTACCGGCGTGAGCCACCATGCCTGACCCATTAATCCACCTTCTTGAAGGTGCTTTCTGAGATTTACCTTTATTTATTTTTATTCTGGACTGATTTCCCTTAGACTTTGCACATGTGTATTAATATTTGTTGGCTTACTCTTTTTTTTTTTTTTTGAGATGGAGTCTCACTCTGTCACCCAGGCTGGAGTGAATTGGTGCAATCTCGGCTCACTGCAACCTCTGCCTCCTGGGCTCAAGTGATTCTCGTGCCTTAGCTTCCCGAGTAGCTGGGACTACAGGTGCACACCACCACACCCAGAAAATTTTTTCTTTTTTTTGTATTTCTAGTAGAGACAGGGTTTCACCATGTTGCCCAGGGTGGTCTTGAACTCCTGAGCTCAGGCAATCTACTAGCCTCAGCTTCCCAAAGTGCTAGGATTACAGGTGTGAGCCAACACGACCGGCCAGTTAGTTTACTCTTAAAATTCCTAAATAATTCCAAATCTCTCTTGGGATTATTTTTCCCATACTTCTGACTTCTGGTAATCTCTTGCCTACATTAAACTTAAATTCCTTTTATCATAAGTTTACAATAAAAAAAAAATCTAACCTCTGTAAATAGAATCATCCTCCATCCGTAGAACTATGTTCTCCTTTTTTCTCAAGCCAGAGCTCAAAGAAACCAATGACAATGACCTTGTAAGATTTGAAAGTGAGAAATATGAGATTGCAAATTGCACTGCCATTCCCTATCCTATGCTGTCAGAAACATCACCAATCCATCAGAATTCTTTCCTGTGCTGAGCTCAAGAGTTATTTATAAATGCATCTCAATTAATGGCTTATTATTTTTTCCTTAATCATTTTACTTAATTCCTACAACAAACCAAGGAGCTAGGTGTTACTAATCCCATTTTACAAATGAGGACACTAAAATCTAGATAGGATTGTAACTCATCCAAGGTTATGCTGTTAGCAGTAGGTGATTACAAGATTCCAGTCTAGGTTTGTCTGGTTCCAAGGCCCATGCTGTTAAAACTGTGTTGCCTGTGGTGGTATGGCCTGATTGGTTGGCCTGATTTGTTGGCCATGGGAATGACAGGAAGCCACATATTAAAGGACTCTCCCTTGAGGTGTCTTAGGAAGAGCCCCAATGATCAGGTGAAGTCCTTGGCTCTTTCTGAAGCAGCCAAATGTGTATAAAACGGTGCTATGTAAGTTCGATGAAGAAGTTCATTTATAGAACATATCCTTGCTCTAGAAATATGTCATTACAGAGCATAGTGATACATTGCCTATGT
Organism: Homo sapiens; assembly: GCF_000001405.40. NCBI lineage: Eukaryota > Metazoa > Chordata > Mammalia > Primates > Hominidae > Homo > Homo sapiens. The sequence goes on along the minus strand of NW_003315919.1, from coordinate 19,393 downwards.
ATTATCCCACACTAAGAAACAAACCATATTTATTCAAACCAATGACCTATTAGGCTGAATTCAAATTATTTGCTGAAAGCAAATAACTAATTTTCACTTACACAGGGAATTTTTTAACATGTTGATGCATGTGTCACCACCTGCAAAACACTGTGTTTTTTCAGAGTATCTAGTTTAATTAAGGAACTTCACTAAAATGAGGCATTATCCAAATAGCTGTATCCATCTGTTATTGTGGAGAGAGGAAGGGAAGGGGAAAATTCAGAGATAACATGCTGACCTTAACATGCAACTAAGGATAAATATTTTCTGCTTTCAGAGCATTATCCAGTATTCTTTTTAAAAGATAGGTCTGCCTATTAGCTAGTTGGCAATGCCCTTTGTCTCCCACCAAGAAGACATCTGAAAGGCTGTTTCTGCAGGAAATGCCAGGAAGGCTTTCTGGTCTTCCCTACAACCAATAGGTGTTATAAGTCTCACCCATGTTCTTGTCTATGCTTATGTGACGATATCTAATGAGACAAAAAGATCCAGTCAGTCCAATATACCACTGATTTTTAAGATGACCCCAAACAGGGAAAACAGAAGTTAAAGATCACTGCCAGTTACAGGATAATTAATTTTAAATAGTTTTATTACAATGACAAATTAAAATTCAGGAAAGTCAAGCTTTGGATCACGCCTGGGTTTGAGTCTTGGCTCCACCAGCTATTGGTTTTGTAACATTCGGTAAGTCATTTAACAGCTCTGGGTCTCAAATTCTCATTCTGTGAAGTGTGAATAATGCCTAAGTCTCAGGATTATTATAAAAAATAAACAGATAAGTAAAAGTATGAAAGGTGATTAACATACTGCCTGGAGCAAAGCAAATACTCAGAAAAAATTCAACTTTCATAGCTTTCTTTTTTCTGGGAGCCAGAATTTCATATTTTTTTCACACCCTCAATTGCATATGTTTTGTGCCCTGTAAGTTCAAGTATTCAAGGCAATATATTTCCACTAATTTCCTAACAGAGTACATATTTCTGTTTACACTTAATGTTGAATGCATGTAGACACAGCCTTAAGCAAGTGATTTCTGCTGCCAGATATTATGGTGGAATACAATTATTCGAGAATGACTAATTTTCATTGAGTTCCTACTAAGTGGCAGTTGCTTTGTAAAGCACTAGGGAAAGAATAAAAAGAATAAGACATACTTTCCGCCTGTGAGGCATTCACAATCTAGCAGGAAAGGATTAAGTTAACTAAACCATGTATCCCATAAAGTTATATGAAAGGGAAGGTGGGACACAAAGGCATGATCAAGAAATAAATCTTGAGAAAGGTAATGTTTCATAAGGGCCTTGGATAGTAAGTCAAATTTTAACAGGAAGAAAGGAGAGTAAGGACATGTTGGACAAAAGTCTTGGAAACAGACTAGAAAGGACCTAGGATGGCAACATTTAAGTATTTACTATTTGGAATGGCAAGAATTTAATGAGGTATATAAAGCAGGAGAGTGACAGCACTGTATCAATAGAAATAACTGATAAAATAAAAACTAGTCTGCACTTAGCCAACCATACCCAAGGTTCTATTTTGCTAACATTAGTGTGCTTAGTGTGCCAGATTTTTTTCTATTCAATTGTAAATGTATGTGGTTGCACACACACTATAAATACATTTCTCTGCATGAGTTGCATATGCAAATACATATATAGGAGGCAGAACTTCCAGAGTGACAGAGTCAAGAGCTAGGAGTAACCTAGCCTAGAAAAGGAGTAACCTTTTCTTGGCAAAACAAAAATTTTATTGTTGAAGACCATAAAAAATATTTATAGTCTAGGGAAATTGTCTAAGAGCATACAGGAATTGAAGAATCATTCACTGGAAAAATCTACTAAGTCTCAGTAAGAACAGTGAGTTTCTATAGTATTTGGGTCATGACCCACTTCCTTTCTACCCCCTTCAGCCCAGCATGCAAAAAACTATATTGCAGATTGGTATAGCCAAAAACACAGGGCTCCCTTTTCTGATCCTTTCCCCCACCCCAGCTTTCATCTACGGAGCTCTGCAACGCTGCCTGAGGGTTTTTATTATTATTATTGTTGTTGTTAAAAAGCATGGGGAACTCTGTGACTAAGAGAAGTATTCAAAATAATGGATATCTTAGTGGTGAGAAATTAAGAGAGACTAGAAGCTCCATGATACAAAGCATGATGCAATAGAGGGAAACATTCAGAGCTTTAATAGAGAGAACAAGGAAAAGAGATATCTAAGAAGAGTACTCCTGGAATCATACTCAACCCCGGGAGTCAAGAAGGCTGTGCTTCGCTCACTCAGAAGCAATCAGCACAGGAAGTGGACAGACTTGAAGGTGTTTTCAAAACCACACACAGACCAATTACAAGGGCACACCCCTCAATGGCACAAATGCTTAAATTCAACTTCTTATGAAACAAACACTTACTGGCAAGCTTCTCTGACACAAGTGTGAACTCCTAGGAAGCTATGTTTAGAAATAAATCATAGCCACCACTGGTAGTCTGAAAGAGTGTGCATGCCCAATGCTGTGCCCTCAAAACAGCAATGAGAAGAATAACCTCCAAGGTCTTGGTCCCAAGCTGAATTTAGACAGTAGTCTGTAAGCCACATACATATTCAACATATCAACATATGGAGGAAAGATCTTACTGGCTGAGAGAGTTTAATCATAACATTTGACTAATAAGTGGCTATGCTGACTAGGACTGACCTATAAGTAGCCAAGCTACAAGATTAAAACAAACAAACCAAAAAAAAATCTGACCAGGGACATAAGAGACTGCATGCTGAAAAGTAATGGATTTCAACCATGTTACTAAACAAATAAACAAACAAAAAACCAATCAAATAACAATTACTCCTTCCTGTAGCGGATCTATATTCAGATTTGTTATACTATCTAAAATAAGCTGTTTTCAATAAAAAGTTAGGAGACATGGAAAGAATGTGAATGTAATGCATACACAGGGAAAATGGTCAATAGAAGCCGACTTTGAAAAGGTACATAATATAAACACGTTAAAAAAACTAAGGGAAATAATGCGTCAAGAATATGATAAAGTAATATACACTATTTAAATAAAAACAAATGAAAATTCTCCAGTTAAAAGGTAGAATAACCAAAATAAATCTCAACAGATTTGAGCTGGCAGAAAATAATCATTGTCTTGAGGACAAGTCAATAGAGATTACAAAATAATAACAGACCATCAAAACATATAAAGAAAAAAATTGACAGATTTAAAGGGAGAAATAAACAGTTCTACAATAATAGTTGGAGATTTCAATGTCCTACTCTCAATCATGTATAGAACATACTAGTCTCAAAATAAATAAGAAAATAGAGGACTTGAACACAATAAACCAAGTAGTTTTTTTTTTTTTAATTATACTTTAAGTTTTAGGGTACATGTGCACATTGTGCAGGTTGGTTACATATGTATACATGTGCCATGCTGGTGCACTGCACCCACTAACTCGTCATCTAGCATTAGGTATATCTCCTAATGCTATCCCTCCCCCCTCCCCGCACCCCACAACAGTCCCCAGAGTGTGATATTCCTCTTCCTGTGTGCATGTGATCTCATTGATCAATTCCCACCTATGAGTGAGAATATGCGGTGTTTGGTTTTTTGTTCTTGCGATAGTTTACTGAGAATGATGTTTTCCAATTTCATCCGTGTCCCTACAAAGGACATGAACTCATCATTTTTTATGGCTGCATAGTATTCCATGGTGTATATGTGCCACATTTTCTTAATCCAGTCTATCATTGTTGGACATTTGGGTTGGTTCCAAGTCTTTGCTATTGTGAATAATGCCGCAATAAACATACGTGTGCATGTGTCTTTATAGCAGCATGATTTATAGTCCTTTGGGTATATACCCAGTAATGGGATGGCTGGGTCAAATGGTATTTCCAGTTCTAGATCCCTGAGGAATTGCCACACTGACTTCCACAATGGTTGAACTAGTTTACAGTCCCACCAACAGTGTAAAAGTGTTCCTATTTCTCCACATCCTCTCCAGCAGCTGTTGTTTCCTGACTTTTTAATGATTGCCATTCTAACTGGTGTGAGATGGTATCTCATTGTGGTTTTGAATTGCATTTCTCTGATGGCCAGTGATGATGAGCATTTTTTCACGTGTTTTTTGGTTGCATAAATGTCTTCTTTTGAGAAGTGTCTGTTCATGTCCTTTGCCCACTTTTTGATGGGGTTGTTTGTTTTTTTCTTGTAAATTTGTTTGAGTTCATTGTAGATTCTGGATATTAGCCCTTTGTCAGATGAGTAGGTTGCAAAAATTTTCTCCCATTTTGTGGGTTGCCTGTTCACTCTGATGGTAGTTTCTTTTGCTGTGCAGAAGCTCTTTAGTTTAATTAGATCCCATTTGTCAATTTTGGCTTTTGTTGCCATTGCTTTTGGTGTTTTAGACATGAAGTCCTTGCCCATGCCTATGTCCTGAATGGTAATGCCTAGGTTTTCTTCTAGGGTTTTTATGGTTTTAGGTTTAACGTTTAAGCCTTTAATCCATCTTGAATTGAATTTTGTATAAGGTGTAAGGAAGGGATCCAGTTTCAGCTTTCTACTTATGGCTAGCCAGTTTTCCCAGCACCATTTATTAAATAGGGAATCCTTTCCCCATTTCTTGTTTTTCTCAGGTTTGTCAAGGATCAGATAGTTGTAGATATGCGGCGTTATTTCTGAGGGCTCTGTTCTGTTCCATTGATCTATATCTCTGTTTTGGTATCAGTACCATGCTGTTTTGGTTACTGTAGTCTTGCAGTGTAGTTTGAAGTCAGGTAGTGTGATGCCTCCAGCTTTGTTCTTTTCGCTTAGGATTGACTTGGCAATGCGGGCTCTTTTTTGGTGCCACATGAACTTTAAAGTAGTTTTTTCCAATTCTGTGAAGAAAGGCATTGGTAGCTTGATGGGGATGGCATTGAATCTGAAAATTACCTTGGGCAGTATGGCCATTTTCACGATATTGATTCTTCCTACCCATGAGCATGGAATGTTCTTCCATTTGTTTGTATCCTCTTTTATTTTATTGAGCAGTGGTTTGTAGTTCTCCTTGAAGAGGTCCTTCACGTCCCTTGTAAGTTGGATTCCTAGGTATTTTATGCTCTTTGAAGCAATTGTGAATGGTAGTTAACTCATGATTTGGCTCTCTGTTTGTCTGTTATTGGTGTATAAGAATGCTTGTGATTTTTGTACATTGATTTTGTATCCTGAGACTTTGCGAAGTTGCTTGCCAGCTTAAGGAGGTTTTGGGCTGAGACAATGGAGTTTTCTAGATATACAATCATATCATCTACAAACAGGGACAATTTGACTTCCTCTTTTCCTAATTGAATACCCTTTATTTCCTTCTCCTGCCTAACTGCCCTGTGCCCTGGCCAGAACTTCCAACATTATGTTGAATAGGAGTGGTGAGAGAGGGCATCCCTGTCTTGTGCCAGTTTTCAAAGGGAATGCTTCCAGTTTTTGCCCATTCAGTATGATATTGGCTGTGGGTTTGTCATAGATAGCTCTTATTATTTTGAAATACATCCCATCAATACCTAATTTATTGAGAGTTTTTAGCATGAAGCGTTGCTGAATTTTGTCAAAGGCTTTTTCTGCATCTATTGAGATAATCATGTGGTTTTTGTCTTTGGTTCTGTTTATATGCTGGATTACATTTATTGATTTGTGTATATTGAACCAGCCTTGCATCCCAGGGATAAAGCCCACTTGATCATGGTGGATAAGCTTTTTGATGTGCTGCTGGATTCGTTTTGCCAGTATTTTATTGAGGATTTTTGCATCAATGTTCATCAAGGATATTGGTCTAAAATTCTCTTTTTTTGTTGTGTCTCTGCCTGGCTTTGGTATCAGAATGATGCTGGCCTCATAAAATGAGTTAGGGAGGATTCCCTCTTTTTCTATTGATTGGAATAGTTTCAGAAGCAATGGTACCAGTTCCTCCTTGTACCTCTGGTAGAATTCAGCTGTGAATCCATCTGGTCCTGGACTCTTTTTGGTTGGTAAGCTATTGATTATTGCCACAATTTCAGATCCTGTTATTGGTCTATTCAGAGATTCAACTTCTTCCTGGTTTAGTCTTGGGAGAGTGCATGTGTCCAGGAATTTATCCATTTCTTCTAGATTTTCTAGTTTAATTGTGTAGAGGTGTTTGTAGTATTCTCTGATGGTAGTTTGTATTTCTGTGGGATCGTTGGTGATATCCCCTTTATCATTTTTTATTGCGTCTATTAGATTCTTCTCTCTTTTTTTCCTTATTAGTCTTGCTAGTGGTCTATCAGTTTTGTCAATCCTTTCAAAACACCAGCTCCTGGATTCATTAATTTTTTGAAGGGTTTTTTGTGTCTCTATTTCCTTCAGTTCTGCTCTGATTTTAGTTATTTCTTGCCTTCTGCTAGCTTTTGAATGTGTTTGCTCTTGCTTTTCTAGTTCTTTTAATTGTGATGGTAGGGTGTCAATTTTGGATCTTTCCTGCTTTCCCTTGTGGGCATTTAGTGCTATAAATTTCCCTCTACACACTGCTTTGAATGCGTCCCAGAGATTCTGGTATGTTGTGTCTTTGTTCTCATTGGTTTCAAAGAACATCTTTATTTCTGCCTTCATTTCGTCATGTACGCAGTAGTCATTCAGGAGCAGGTTGTTCAGTTTCCATGTAGTTGAGCAGTTTTGAGTGAGTTTCTTAATCCTGAGTTCTAGTTTGATTGCACTGTGGTCTGAGAGATAGTTTGTTATAATTTCTGTTCTTTTACATTTGCTGAGGAGAGCTTTACTTCCAAGTATGTGGTCAATTTTGGAATAGGTGTGGTGTGGTGCTGAAAAAAATGTATATTCTGTTGATTTGGGGTGGAGAGTTCTGTAGATGTCTATTAGTTCCACTTGGTGCAGAGCTGAGTTCAATTCCTGGGTATCCTTGTTGACTTTCTGTCTCGTTGATCTGTCTAATGTTGACAGTGGGGTGTTAAAGTTTCCCATTATTAATGTGTGGGAGTCTAAGTCTTTTTGTAGGTCACTCAGGACTTGCTTTATGAATCTTGGTGCTCCTGTATTGGGTGCATATATATTTAGGATAGTTAGCTTTTCTTGTTGATCTCTTTACCATTATGTAATGGCCTTCTTGGTCTCTTTTGATCTTTGTTGGTTTAAAGTCTGTTTTATCAGAGACTAGGATTGCAACCCCTGCCTTTTTTTGTTTTCCATTTGCTTGGTAGATCTTCCTCCATCCTTTTATTTTGAGCCTATGTGTGTCTCTGCATGTAAGATGGGTTCCCTGAATACAGCACACTGATGGGTCTTGACTCTTTATCCAATTTGCCAGGCTGTGTCTTTTAATTGGAGCATTTAGTCCATTTACATTTAAAGTTAATATTGTTATGTGTGAATTTGATCCTGTCATTATGATGTTAGCTGGTTATTTTGTACGTTAGTTGATGCAGTTTCTTCCTATTCTTGATGGTCTTTACATTTTGGCATGATTTTGCAGCGGCTGGTACCAGTGGTTCCTTTCCATGTTTAGCACTTCCTTCAGGAGCTCTTTTAGGGCAGGCCTGGTGGTGACAAAATCTCTCAGCGTTTGCTTGTCTGTAAAGTATTTTATTTCTCCTTCACTTATGAAGCTTAGTTTGGCTGGATATGAAATTCTGGGTTGAAAATTCTTGTCTTTAAGAATGTTGAATATTGGCCCCCACTCTCTTCTGGCTTGTAGGGTTTCTGCCAAGAGATCCGCTATTAGTCTGATGGGCTTCCCTTTGAGGGTAACCCGACCTTTCTCTCTGGCTGCCCTTAACATTTTTTCCTTCATTTCAACTTTGGTGAATCTGACAATTATGTGTCTTGGAGTTGCTCTTCTCAAGGAGTATCTTTGTGGCGTTCTCTGTATTTCCTGAATCTGAACGTTGGCCTGCCTTGCTAGATTGGGGAAGTTCTCCTGGATAATATCCTGCAGAGTGTTTTCCAACTTGGTTCCATTCTCCCCATCACTTTCAGGTACACCAATCAGACGCAGATTTGGTCTTTTCACATAGTCCCATATTTCTTGGAGGCTTTGCTCATTTGTTTCTATTCTTTTTTCTCTAAACTTCCCTTCTCGCTTCATTTCATTCATTTCATCTTCCATCCCTGATACTCTTTCTTCCAGTTGATCGCATCGGCTCCTGAGCCTTCTGCATTCTTCACGTAGTTCTTGAGCCTTGGTTTTCAGCTCCATCAGCTCCTTTAAGCACTTCTCTGTATTGGTTATTCTAGTTATACATTCTTCTAAATTTTTTTCAAAGTTTTCAACTTCTTTGCCTTTGGTTTGAATGTCCTTCCGTAGCTCAGAGTAATTTGATCATCTGAAGCCTTCTTCTCTCAGCTCGTCAAAGTCATTCTCCATCCAGCTTTGTTCCGTTGCTGGTGAGGAACTGTGTTCCTTTGGAGGAGGAGAGGCACTTTGCTTTTTAGAGTTTCCAGTTTTTCTGTTCTGTTTTTTCCCCATCTTTGTGGTTTTATCTACTTTTGGTCTTTGATGATGGTGATGTACAGATGGGTTTTTGGTGTGGATGTCCTTTCTGTTTGTTAGTTTTCCTTCTAACAGACAGGACCCTCAGCTGCAGGTCTGTTGGAATTCCCTGCTGTGTGAGGTGTCAGTGTGCCCCTGCTGGGGGGTGCCTCCCAGTTAGGCTGCTCAGGGGTCAGGGCTCAGGGACCCACTTGAGGAGGCAGTCTGTGGAGTTCTCAGATCTCCAGCTGCATGCTGGGAGAACCACTGCTCTCTTCAAAGCTGTCAGACAGGGACATTTAAGTCTGCAGAGGTTACTGCTGTCTTTTTGTTTGTCTGTGCCCTTCCCCCAGAGGTGGAGCCTACAGAGGCAGGCAGGCCTCCTTGAGCTGTGGTGGGCTCCGCCCAGTTGGAGCTTCCTGGCTGCTTTGTTTACCTAATCAAGCCTGGGCTATGGTGGGCGCCCCTCTCCCAGCCTGGCTGCCACCTTGCAGTTTGATCTCAGACTGCTGTGCTAGCAATCAGTGAGACTCCGTGGGCGTAGGACCCTCCAAGCCAGGTGCGGGATATAATCTCGTGGTGCGCCCTTTTTTAAGCCCGTTGGAAAAGCACAGTATTCGGGTGGGAGTGACCCGATTTTCCAGGTGCCGTCCGTCACCCCTTTCTTTGACTCGGAAAGGGAACTCCCTGACCCCTTGCGCTTCCCAAGTGAGGCAATGCTTTGGCTCACGCACGGTGCATGCACCCACTGACCTGTGCCCACTGTCTGGCACTCCCTGGTGAGATGAACCCGGTACCTCAGATGGAAATGCAGAATCACCGTCTTCTGTGTCGCTCACACTGGGAGCTGTAGACTGGAGCTGTTCCTATTCAGCCATCTTGGCTCCTCCTAAACCAAGTAGTTTTAACAGACATATGGAACACTCTGCCCAGCAACAGAATACTAATTCTTCTCAAGGGTACATGGAACATTTTCCAGGATAGACTATGTTTGGGCCTATACATTGTCTCAGTAGGTGTGAAAGGATAGCTATGAAACAAAGATTCATCTCTTACCACAACAGATGAAGTTAGAAATCAGTAACAGAAGGAAAACAAGAAAATTCATAAATTTGTGGAAATGACAAAACACACTCAAATAACAAATGAATTAATAAAGAAATCACAAGGAAAACTGAAAAATATTTAAGATAAATGAAAATATAAACATAACATACCAATATTTATGGGGCACAGTGAAGGCCACACTAAGAAGAAAATTTATAGCTGTAACACATTAAAAATTAATCAAAAATGTTTTAAATCAGCAGATTAACTTTATAACTTAAGGTACTAGAAAAAGAAAAACACAAAGGTAACAGAAGGAAGGAAATAATAGAAGAGCAAAGATAAATGGGATAGAGAATAAAATAATAATAGAGAAATGCAACGAAACTAAAGTTGGCTCTTTGAAAAGATCAAGTTTGACAAACCTTTAGCTAAATAAAAAAAGAGAAAAAGCAGGGCAGAAAAGACTCAAATTACAAAACTAAAAAATGAAAGACATTACTACGGATTTTATAGAAATAAAAGGATTATAAGACAGTACTACGAGCAGTTGCATGCCAACAATTGGATAACTACATGAAATCCTTATAAACTCGAAAGCTACCAAGACTAAACCATGAAGAAATAGAAAATTTAAATAGAACTATATAATGAGTAAGAAAATAAAATAAATAATAAAAATCTCCCAACAAAGTAAATCCCTGGACCTGAAGCCCTCACTAGTGAATTCCACTTAATCTTTAAAGGATAATTAATGGAAATTTTTTTCAAAGTTTTCCAAATATATTGAAGAGGTGAGAGCACTTCCTGACTGACTTCATGAGACAAGCATTACCCTGATGCCAAAACCAGGAAAACACAATTGAAGAAAAGAAAATTACAGACCAAAATCACTAATAAACATAGATGCAAACGTTTTCGACAGTATACTAGAAAACTGAATTCAACAGCACATTAAAAATTTACTCACTTGGAAAGCAAGGTTCAATGTATACAAATCAATCAATGAAATATACTACATTAAGGAAATGAAAGAAAATATTACACGATTATCTCAATTGATGCAGAAAAAGCATTTGACATAATTCAGCCTTACTTCATGACTGAAAAAAGACAAAGTAGAAATAGAAGGCAATTACCTCAACATAATAAAACCCATATATAAAAACTCCACGGCAAACATTATATTAATAGTATTAATAAAAAATTGGAAGCTTTCCTTTAAGATCAAGAACATTTTTTTCTCCTTAGAAAACCAAAAAAGTGGGCCATACACAGTGTCTCATGCCTGTAATCCCAGCACTTTGGGAGGCCAAGGTGGGCAGATCACGAGGTCAGGAGTTCAAGACCAGCCTGGCCAACATGGTGAAACCCCCATCTCTACTAAAAATACAAAAATTAGCTGGGCATGGTGGTGCATGCCTGTAATCCCAGCTACTTGGGAGGCTGAGGCAGGAGAATTGCTTGAACCAGGACCCGGGAGGTGGAGGTTGCAGTGAGCTGAGATTGCACCACTGCACTCCAGCCTGGGGTACAGAGCGAGACTCTGTCTCAAAAAAAAAAAAAAAAAAAAGAAAGAAAAAAGAAAAGAAAACCAAAAAAGTACTTATTGATTGATTCTTTAGAGGTTTTTTAAATAAATTTATACACGATAATTGTACATATTTATGGTGTACAGAGGGATGTTTTGAAACATACAGTGTATAGTAATTGGATTCAAAGTAACTACCATATTCGTTATCTCAAACATATATCATTTCTTTGTTCGGGGAACACCAAAAAACCTCCTTCTGGCTATTTGAGACTATATGATATATTATTGTTAACTATAGTTATCATACAGTGATATAGAACACTAGTACTTATTTTTCCTATCTAGCTGTAATTTTGTATTCTTTAACAAATCTCTCCCTACCTCCCCATTTCCCCTATTTTTTCCAGCTTATAGTATTCTTTGTTATATTTTTTATTTCTATGAGATAAACATTTTCCAGCTTATGCCTATGAATGGGAATACTTCTCACTTCTATTTAACATAGTACTGGAAGTCCTAGTCAGAGAACTTAAGCAAGAAAAATAAATTTAAAAATTCAATCAGAAAAAAAGAAATAAAATTATCTCTGTTTTATGATTTCATATGTAGAAAACTAAAGATTCTATATAAATATATACACAAAATACTCAGAATTTAAATGAATTTAGCAAAGAAGATATAAAGTTCAGACACACAAATCAGTTGCATTTTTATATACTAATAATAAACATCTAAAAATAAAATTAAGAAAATATTTTCATTTGCAATACCATTACAAATAATAAAATACTTAAGAATTAACCAAACCAAGGAAGTAAAAGACTTGTACAATGAAAATTATAAAACATTAACCAATAAAATTAAGGAAGACATCAATAAATGAAAAAATATCTCACATTCTTGATTAGGGGTTAGTATTGTTAAAATTTCAACAGTACACAAAGTGATCTACAGATTTAATGCAATCTCTATCAAAATGTAAGTTCAGTTTAACATCCAAAAGTTAATTTATGCGATATGCCATGTCAGTAGAATAAAGAAAAACTATATGCTCATCTCAATAAATCCAGAAAAAAATTTGACAGAAATACAATACCAAAAACAAACAAACAAAAAAACTAGGAGTAGAAGCCTCACCCTAGTAAAGGGGATTTGCAAAAAAATTAACAGCTACCATCATACCTAATGGTGAAAGACAATTCTTTTCTCCTAACATCATGAAAAATATAAGGATATTCATTCTTGCCACTTCTAACGTTGTACTGGGGGTGCTGGCCAGGGCATGTAGGCAAAAATAAGAAAGAGGAAGTACCCAGATAGGAAAAGAAAAAATAAAACTCTCTATATTTTCAGATTACATAATTTATATGTGTGTATACACATATAAATATACACTTGTTATGAGCATTATAAAAACTGAAATTAAGAAAACAATTCCATTTATAATAGCATTAATAACCCAGAATACTTAGTTATATGTTCAAAAAAGTAAGGACAAAACTTGTATACTGAAAACTAAAAAACATAGGAAGTAATTAATTATTTGTATTTACCTTATTATTTTCCTGATCATTCTTACCACCACAGAGATTGAAGACTTTATTGGGCAGTTTGCTTCTTCAGCGATGTACTTATTTGTATGCATTGTTCAGTATTCTTCTGGGATGTCTGTTATTTTCCTATTCAGGCATTGGAACTCCTTTTAAAGATACAAACCCTTTTCTTATAAATATTGCAAATATTTTCTCCTGACAAATCATTTGTCCCTTCATTTCGTTTAATTTTATTCAGTTTTCTACTTTTTCTCCCATATTTGCTCTGCTTCAGGCACTCAGTCCCTTAGATGTTCTCTAAACATTAAGAATTTGCGGCCAGGCGCGGTCGCTCACGCCTGTAATCCCAGCACTTTGGGAAGCTGAGACGGGCAGATCACGAGGTCAGGAGATCGAGACCATCCTGGCTAACACGGTGAAACCCCGTCTCTATAAGTCTTTATTCTAATACAAAAAATTAGCCAGGCGTTGTGGCGGGCGCCTGTAGTCCCAGCTACTCAGGAAGCTGAGGCAGGAGAATGGCGTGAACCGAGATTGCGCCACTGCACTCCAGCCTCGGAGACAGAGCGAGACTCCGTCTCAAAAAAAAAAAAAAAAAAAAAAATTAAGAATTTGGAATTTTCAATGACTGTTCTCTTTGCCTAGAATGCTTTTCTCTGGATTCTCACCCCTTAACCTCTCCAAGTCTTTGTCACATATCACCTTCTTAATGAGGCCTACACTAACCACTGTATTTAATTTCAGCACACTCCCGTTGCCACAAAAGCCAGGCCAGATCATCTTTACTCTGACTTTTTTTATAGCACTTAGAACCTTCTAAAAGAATATATCATTTATTTTTATGTTTTTATTCCCTGTTTTTCCAGTAAATTTAAAATTAATAAGAGCAAGTATTTTTGTATGTTTTGTTCCTCATATATACCAAGATTTTTGAACAGTTAGTACATGTTAGGGGCTTATAAATATCTGCTGAATTGTATAATTTATGATCACTTCTTCCAAATAAGTTTTTAATGTTTTATGTTATCAAATCTAGAAGAGATACCTCTAAGAATAAATATATCTTTATCTTGCTGTGTCGAGATATACTACACTAAGATTAGGAACATATTCTCATTTATTTTTTATTATGCTTTTATAATAATTATCATTGTTGATTTACACTTACATTTTGACTTGAACTAGAGTATAATTTGGGTGAGGTAGAAACTTTGAAAGCTCTTTCATTATAAAACCTAGTTGTCTTAACAGTAGTTAGAGAACAGTCGATTCTGTACCCATTAATAATTAGCATGACCTTTAGAATATGCTAAATCTCATTTGTATTGCTTTCTGAATTTTATTCTTTTTCACTCTGCAATAACTTTACTTAAAATAGTTTTACACCTAAAATTATAATAAATTTATAGATGTATTTGGGTGAAACTGCCCCATATTTTCTAGTTGAGTATTTGCTAATTTCTAGAAAAATTAATCCCCTATATTCAATCTGTTCATTCCTTCACAAACTACTATGACCAGATATTGAATCTCCTCTATATATATTCTATACCACATTAACTTTCTTTCATAACTTGTACTTTTATTTTTTTAATGTCTTTGAGATTCCTACTTAATTATTCAAGTTTATCTTTTGTTGTGTCCAACCGCACAAAAGTTTCACTGATATTTTTAAAGATTTCATACATACAGAGAAGTACATAAATGTACACGCAGAATTTAAAGAGCATTTTAAAATGAACTGTGATAATTTCATCTAGAAGGGAAAATGGAACATTTTTCCATGTATTTTTGAAAATTTATTCTGAAATAATTTTACTAACTGTATATTCGGATATGTGCTATTATACTCATCTATTTGGTGTTTTTTTAATCTAACTTTCTGAGTTCTCATTTCATTTCATACTTTTGCAAATATGCTAGAAAATTTTTAGTTTCTTGTTCCATACATGCATTTTTTCCAATCTTCTATTGCTTTAAACACAAATAATTATAATTATTTTATAATAGGTATTTTAATAATTCTGATATCTGGCCGGGCGCGGTGGCTCACGCCTGAAATCCCAGCACTTTGGGAGGCCGAGGCGGGCAGATCATGAGGTCAGGAGATCGAGACCATCCTGGCTAACACAGTGAAACCCCGTCTCTACTAAAAATACAAAAAATTAGCCAGGCGTGGTGGCGGGTGCCTGTAGTCCCAGCTATTGGGGAGGCTGAGGCAGGAGAATGGCGTGAACTCAGGAGGCGGAGCTTGCAGTGAGCCGAGATCCTGCCACTGCACTCCAGCCTGCGCAACAAAGCGAGACTCCTTCTCTAAATTAATTAATTAATTAAGATGAAGACATTATCTTGAATTATACAGGTATGCCCAAAGTAATGTCAAGGCTCCTTATCACAGGAGGGCAGTAGCATCACAGTCAGAGAAGAAAGTATCATTGTGGGGGGAGAGATTACAGGAAATGAGAAAGAGGTCATGACCCAATAAATTCATCCTGCCTCCAATATGGAAAAGGCAAGAAAACAGATTTCCACCAGAACCTCCTGAAGAAATGCAGCCCTGGTGACCCCTTTATTTTTGGAATTCTTAACCTCTGTAATTATAAGATGATAAATGTGGGTTGTTTTAAGATACTACATTTGGAGTAATTAGTTACAATAACAATAGGATACATACGGTTATTTAAGTAATTTCTTAATTATGGTAACTTTTCCCTATGTGCTTTGTTATTTTTCGTTGTGAGCCGTATGTTTTTTTTCCAGAAATTATTTGTGAGACTTCTTCATAACGAGGTTGAAGGTGAGTTTCTCTGGAAAGCATTCGCTTATATCAAGGCTTATGTGTTCCGCCAATACCAGTCTACTGTAAAGTATTTTCATGTTGTGTCTGTATTTTTGGACCAACAAATAAATTGCCCTGCTTATGTTTTCATATCTTTTCTTTTTCATCCTGTAAGTGTTTCTTCTATTTATAAACAACCAAAGATGTGAGGATAAAAATAAGACTTTTTTTTAATGTCCTCACGTTGGTTGTTGGTTGTTTAAATTGTAGAGCATCAGTATGTTACCAAAACACCAGGGGTTCGGTCTGGGTTCTGCTACCTCCCACACAGAAGGGCAATGACTGAGACAATGAGTATTGCCAAGGAAGAAGGCTTTAATCAGGTGCTGCAGCTGAGGAGATGGGAGCTCAGTCTCAAATCTAACTCCCTGACTGACTAAAACTAGGGGTATATAGCAGGGAACAAATAAAACAATGTGTAAGAAAACAGATAGTAGGGACGGGCAAGTAAGCAATCATGATGAATAAGGGGTTTGGTCATTGGCCATTGTCTGACGTGATCTGGTGAGATTCAGTTGTTTGATACATTTTTTTTTTTTTTTTTTTTGAGACAGAGTCTTGCTCTGTCTCCCAGGTGGGAGTGCAATGGTGCAATCTTGGCTCACTGCAAACTATGCCTCCCAAGTTCAAGTGATTCTCCTGCCTCAGCCTCCCGAGTAGCTGGGACTACAGGCACCTGCCACCACGCCCAGCTAATTTTTGTATTTTTTAGGAGAGATGGGGTTACACCATGTTGGCCAGGCTGGTCTCTAACTCCTGACCACAGGTGATCCACCTGCCTTGGTCTCCCAAAGTGCTGGCATTACAGGCATGAGCCACCATGCCTGGCGGATATTTTTTTGCGGGGGAGGCCTGAAGGTCCTTTTCTGAGGAAGGAACTCATATAAAAAAATATAATCTTCAAGCTTTAAGTCCATAAGGGTTAATTTCAATCTGTATCCAAAAAACTCCATATGGGACTATCAGTTTCAAGTACAGCACTGTAGATAGATGGAATTACTCTCTACAGCAGACTACCTTCTACAGTGAGATAACCGAAAACTGTTAGTAAGAAGGCTTTCATTTGTGTTACCTGAGAGAAGAGGAGGAAGGTGTTTAGGAATTCGTGCATTTATCTTTTATTATTCTTATTTTTATCTTGCTCTTGCCTTGTGGTTGCTAGGTTTTTCTGTCCTTTAGTTGTTGTTATTGCTATTCCATCTGCTTTTTATCTTCCTTACACCATTAAAAAAAAAAAACAACGGTTTGAAGAAACCAGTTTGAAGTCATAATCAAAAGAGACATGGTAGCTACATATTGTATAGATTTTATAAGTACCTGAGAATATTACATTATCATTAACCTTAACCAAATGTCACAGAAAGACAGTATTTTGCTTGCAGGAAAATAAAGCTAAGGGTGTGGTATGATGAATTTCATATTCATACTTTGTATAAAGGCAGATGCTTGCATGATTTGGAGTTTTTCCAGGCTTAAAGACTATAAACTTTATCAAGAATCTCAACCAAAGACAGTTGTTTCCTCCATACCATCTGTGCAGCAGCAAGATGTTACATAAAAATCCAAGCCAGAGATGGTAATTATGATAAGGATATATTGGTACACTGATGAACATTAGTTATCATTATAAAATTTAATTACTTACCATTATTAGTAACAGATGTATTGTCCTGTAAAATAAGTACTATTACAGATATTTTAAAGAAAGAATGAGAAACGTCATTTGTTGAAAACTATTTGACTTCTCTACCATAGAACAATTGATTGAAATTTACTTTAAAAAATTTTTACTTTTTATTCGTCTACATATATAATAATGATTACTTGTTTAATTCTGCATAATTGGGTATCTGAAATTATGTACCTGGATCCCAGAGTAGTCTATGTTAAAGTAGCTTGGTTTCATATCAAAGCATGAGACTCTCTTTATGTGACATGCACCGTGTTATAACCCAGGCCACCTTAAATAAGTTGATAAAGATCCTTCAAGATTTGTTTTAACTCATTCATTCATTCAATCAGCAAATACTGAGTATAAGGCACTTACCTAAATGCTCAATATACATCAATGAACAGAGAAGATGAAGTTCTTTTACCTCCTGGAACTTATAGTCTAGCAAATAATTTATTATAAATACATAATGTATAAAAGTGATGTGTTATGACAGAAACCTTAGAGTATGATAAGAAAGATCAGGAGTGCTTTGATTTGGCAGTTTTAAATAGGATGATTATGGTGGGCCTTCTGAGAAGGTTTTATCTGAGTAGAAACTTAAAGGAGTCATGGAGTTAGCCATGTGGATATCTGGAGGAAGAGCACTGTATGCAGAGGAAACAGATAGTAACCAGGCCCTGAAGCAGAAGCATGCCTGGCATAATTGGAGAATAGTGAAGAACCCAGGTTTTTCTGAATAGATTGAAAAAAAAGGAAAGGAGAGAGTAGTAGGAGTTGATATCAGAGAGAGATTGGAAGGACAGATCATGAAGGACTTTATGGGCCATTATGTGAACGTGGGCTGTTTCATGAAAAAAATTGGGGAAAATTTTGAGTTGAACAATGAATTTAATCTGGCTTTTATTGTAAAAGGTTCCCTCTGGCTGCTGAGTGGAGGAGAAACCAAAGTTAGGAAAGGATAGAAAAAGTACAATGATGAGCAGGCTACTCTGTTACGTGGACAGGCAATGATGGTGGCTTGGTTTAGAGCCAGTGGTAGATAAATGCAGGACATATATCAAATCATCAAGTATATAAATTATTACAATTCTAGATTATATATTGGCCTCCTGACTGCCCAAGTGAATACTTTTACTTGAATATAATAATCAATCACTTTAACTTCAAAACCAAAAATAGTTAATGAAATTTTCATGTACTTCTAGTTATGAATTCTAAAATAAATGGATGATATTTTCTTTTATTTCCATAGTAGTCGTGGTTAAGAACTAAAGGTGTAGGATAAAGCGAGAAAGCAAAGCAGGGTTAATGAGCTTCAGAAATGATAGCTCTGTTTGCTGGACCTAATTCAAAGTGGAAATGTAGAGGAGAGTGTTTGAGCATGGTGACCTCATGATTTAAAATGTAGAAAGCAGAAGTATTGATCTTTTCTCCTTCTATCAATCAAAAATGCCAGAGAGAGTCGCACAATTTATTATTCTTCCTGTTCAGTAAGCAACACTGAAGAAAAGCAAGAAAGTAGGGCTTTGCTAAAGCAAAGCAAAGGAAGGATACTTGGCCACAATAAAGATTCAGTGATACCTTGCTTTACTGTGAATTCGTCATGGACTTAGGTGTTTGCGAGACAGGGAGTCAAATAGAGACTCTACCTTTTCTTTAGCCCCGTGTGTCACCTTTAAAAAGTTAAGTAATCTCACCAAATTTTATATTCCTTATTTTTGAAATATATTTTTAATATCATCTAAAATTCATAACAATTTGTGATCATAATTATAATTTCATCCTCCTTATTACTAGCTATTATTGACTATTTTGTACATCAATTGAAATAATATTGTATAAAATTAGATCTCACTGTCCTCTGTGCCCACTTTCCAAAAAAAGGAAAAGGTAACTAAGACAACCCACAGTGTACATCGTGTATATTTTCTGGAACAAGAAAGAAAATGCCTAAAGAGGAAACTGAACAGTTGGTATCTTGTTAGAAGGGGATTTTTTTTTTCCAGTTTCAACAATAACCTGATGAGGTTGCTAATATTTTCCACCTCAGCTTGTGTTTATTAAGATGATTTTAAAAGGCAATGAAGTGGAGAATGCATTGGAAATCAGGCTAAGTGGCTACATATTTTATTTAATTATCTGATGAAAAGGGCAAAACAGTGAGAAGAGCTCTTCTTTTGGTACATGCCAAAATAGACGTACTCAGAATGGAATTC